>NC_000003.12:125220725-125372240 GCF_000001405.40 Homo sapiens
GAAAGAGGAGAGAGGATGAGAGCCTTACTGTAGGGAAGGCGGGGGCTACGAGCAGCAGATGACCTCACAGGGCCAAGGTAAGGAATGCCATGTTTCTCCAAGTAACAACTGGGAAGCTTCTGACGCATGGCTGTTATGTGGAGCAAGAACCAGAGGCCAAGAAGAATGCATGTACAGGAACTTACAGAAACCCAGGCAAGACCTGAAGGTGGTTTGGGCTGTGGTAGTAGTAAAGGGAGGGAGGGTTCCAAAGAATTTGAGAAATATTCACAAGCCCTGCCCTCCAGGAGTGGCCTGATTGATTAGATCATAGAATACTTACTGAACCCCATCCAGCAGTGAGCATTTTCCATTACTAAGCCTCACATGTGGACATGTCTCTTTTTTGCTTCTTCTTTTCTTTGCTCCTATGCAACTGGAGCAGTGAGAAAAGGGCTGGGGCCCACCTGCTCACTGATGAGTCCTGGCCATCCTACTCCTTATTCATTCGATTCTCATATACTGAGATGCCCCGGTCAGCACGAGGTGGTAAGGTGCCAAGGGGAAGGAAGTGGCTCTAGAGGCCTTACAGTTCCAGCCACATCCTCTAGCTCATTTCTATACTAGGGTTTGGGAAATGGGCATAGCACATATTGTATTAAGAGGGTGCCTTGTTTCCCACTGGCCATTGATTCTTGTGTGCCACTTTACGGAATTTTTTTTGAAGGTTATGGCAAGTGCGAGTTGTAATTGAGTGCAGAATTCTGGCATTTCCAGGCTCCTGGATGACAGCATCATCTTAATGCCACTGAATTTCCACCACACTTCTAATACCTTCAAATAGCCCTCCGAATGCCTCCTGTACCCCCTAGCATTGTTCATTCATTCACACTTGCTCATTGTGTGAGGTAGCTTTATGCTCTCTGAACTTAATGCCTTTAAGAAGCTTACAATCTAATCCAGGGGGTCTCACAATCTTCTCCTGATGATCAATTTAGTTTTGAATGTTCCTGAAATATGAATACTTAAAAAAAAAACAAATAAACCTAACCTGCATGAGAGGCAGGGCTTCAAAACTCATCACATAGCATCTGCTGGTTGTTTCTATTCGATGTATACCTGTGATTATGGTATAGACACTCAGGAGAAAGAAATAAAAAGAATAGCAAAGAAGGGGCAGAAATAGTGAAAGAAAAATAATGTAAGAGAAAAAAAGGAAGAGAGAAAAAAGTGGTTCCAACATCCTAACCTCATTGTCCATAATTTTGCTTTTGCCTCATGGGTCAGCCAGGTTCCCGTTCCTGACTAACCAATAGCTTAGGAGTGAGAAAGTGGGGACTTCCACCTCAGTATATTCCCTTACTTTTGTAGGATGACACTTCTGCTTATTGTTTCTCATTTGTGGCAATGTATGTCAGTGTTGTTTAGACTTCGTCCACAATGTTCCATCCCGTTCAGTGTATGTGATAATGAAATCATACTTTTTTTGAGACAGGGTCTCACTCTGACACCCAGAGTGGAGTGCAGTGGCACAATCACGGCTCACTGCAGCCCCAACCTCCTGAGCTCATGATCCTCCCATCTCGGCCTCCTGAGTTGGTGGGACTTCAGGTGTGCACCACCACACCTGGGTGTTAAAAGTTTTTTTGAGAGATGGGGGTCTCTGCTATGTTGCCCAGGCTGGAGTCATAGTTTTTTAATGAAGTTTTTTGATTATGCGTTTCTAAGGTTTAGGGCATGTGCTTTATAATACGCTGTACTCCATTTCCCAGTGAACACAAATTATGAGATAAGTAATCACTTATTTACAAAATTCCTATCACTTCTGCCTCACTAACTAGTTATTCCTTGTTGGTCAATTAAATCCAGACAGACTCTCATATCTTCTTCAGTCTTTTGAAAGATAATATTGTCTGCAAGTGAAAGTTATTACATGTTCTGCTTTACATGAGATGAAGCTTCCAATTGTGAGGAAGCCAGGCTCTCTATTGCCTTTAGGACCTAGCCCACAAAGTCATGTAGTGTCATTTCCACCATTTCTCCTATTGGTTGGGGCACTTAAAAAGTCCACTCAGGCTCAATGGGAGGTAACATAGACTCTACTCCTTTTGAAGGAATCCCAACATCATGTTGTAAGAAGAGCATATGGGAAATACAATCTACTCCACATTGTTTGTTTTTTTAATTTTCTTATTCATCTCCCACCCCGCCCCCTCCAGATTCCAAATACTTTGGAATCTGTATTTACTGAATACAGTAAATACAGTAAATACACTTGTCCAACTCTGCTCTATCTTGCTTTTGTGCTGCTTCAAAATCTGGATAGGCTGGGCACAGTGTAATCACACCTGTAATCCCAACACTTTGGGAGGCCAAGAAGGGAGGACTGCTTCAGTCCAGGAGTTCGAGATCAGCCTGGGTAACATAAACAAACAAACAAACAAAAAAACCCTGTCTCTATAAAAAATAAAACAAAGATTAGCTAGATGTAATGGAGCAAGCCTGAAGCCTCAGCTATTCAGAAGGCTGAGGCAAGAGGATCTCTAGAGCCCAGGAGTTCGAGGACACAGTGAGCTATGATCATGCCACTACACTCCACCTGGGCAACAGAGCGAGACCTCCTTAAGAAAATAAATACATAAAATCTGAATAGGGTATGTATTTAGCACTTTACAGTTTACAAATTATCTCAAGTGATTTGACATTCACAGCAATTCATATAGGCATTCTTTACCCTTAATTTGCAGATGAAAAAGTTGAGGTTCAGAAAAATATGTGACTTGAACGAGGCTACACAGATAGATCAAGGCAGAACAGTGATTTAATCCTCTTAAGTCCTCTGCTTATTTCACTGCCCCTTATTTGCCCATGCAGCCTATAGAATATTATCAAACTACAGCTCTACTGTCTCACAATCATCCCCAACAAAAAACATGCATAGCTCATTTAAAGCTGTCCCATGCAGCATTGGATATACTGCCTTGGAAGTATTTTCTTGAAGGATATTTTTAGTCCGAGGTAGGGTGATCACTTGAGACCAGGAGTTCAACAGCAAGCCTGGGAAACATACCAAGACCCTGTCTCTACACAACATAATAAACATAACGGGGCATGGTGGCACATGCCCGTAGTCCCACCTACTCAGGAGGCTGAAGCAAGAGGATCACTTGAGCCCAGGAGTACAAGGCTGCAGTGAACTATGATCATGCCATTGCATTCCAGCCTGGGCCACAGAGCAAGACTCCATCCCCCTCCCCCCGAAAAAAACATAAAACAATCCACAAAAAAAGGAAACCCTATTTTTTACACACATATTACTAGACTCTGTGTTTACTCTCCCCTTCCCCCCCACCCCCGACAACGCACAAAACTGCTCTCAGCCATCTTCTGTGAGGTCTCAAATCACTCTGCATGCATTTACTCTGCTGTGTCCTCTTTCAGCCATTTCGTGATCTAGCAATCAGGCTTAACCCTCATACTGTCTTCACAAAAGTTGCGTTAGGGTGATGGTGCTGAAACTTCCATAGTTTTCCCATAGGGAAAACTACCATATCGGAAGTTTAAAAGGTAAGTTTGGCAGAGGCCAAAATACCTTGAAGGAAATGGCCAAGGAAGAGAAAGAGAATCATACAAAGGGACAGCTGGAAGTTATTTAACATGAAGTACCATAAACATAATCGTAGTCTGGGAGGATTGAACAAGTAGCATATGACTTCAAGGTGTTTAAAATATTAATACCTTTCCATGAAGACTGCTAGAATGACGAATCAGCCTTGGTTTAGTTATTTCTCCACTTCCAGGAAACCATCTCTCACCACCCATTTCCAACCCCGCAGTGGGGTACAGGTGACCCTCTAGTGTATTTTCACTCTAATGTGTGTGAACCTCAGTCCTGTGGTAGGTCAGTTCCTTCAAAACAAAGTCTGTTTCTCATTTCCACAGTCCAGGCTTGAATCCTATCCCTAACTTTGTTACTTTAGGTAGAGTATAATTTTTGACAATGTTCCCTATTTCCACTTTTTTAGTCTGTATATATTTTCTATCTTGTGAAATTTATTAAGATTATATTTTCTAATCCTATCCTAACAAAGGGAATAAATGTACTTACAAGTTTGAGGGATGATATTACTCAGCATAGCACTCAACACATCTTAACACTCATTGTTTGCTTGAATAATCTAAAGTACAATACTGCAACCTGCAATTGATAACACTATAAATACCTTTCACATGGTCAAATAAAGATGCTAATGGCCTCAACCACCTATTATTTGCATGGAGCACAATGCCTGTTATTAAATAGATGATTGGTGCTGAATGAACGCAGGGTCAAAGAAGTCGGCCCCAGTAAGACTCAGATCAATAGAAAACACAGTTCCTACCTTGGGCAAGGCATTTCTTTGGCTCCCTTCCCCACCTTGACACAACATCTTATTTTCAGAACCTTATTAAGAATGAGAAGCTAGGGAAAATTAAGGTTACAACTTTAAAAGTTCATCTGTATTAGTAGGTAAATATGCAAATGCTCAAATGTTCTCTAACAATTCAAGTCCATTTCTAAACTTGAGTTTTCCCAGTCACTTGAAAATCACTTTGAAATGTCATTCTAATTTACAATATCACATTTCACATCCCAGCTCTTACACATATGCATATGCAGCTGTGTGAATGTCTGGGTAAAATGTTCCTTTTAATTACACTTGAAAATGACAAAAGAAAGAAAATTATGAGACCCAAATTTTAGCTTTAGTTCACTTAAAACTTTTCACCTCCATTCATTCTTTATGCATCATATGAATATAATTTATATCCTATCAGGTTCACCAGAGAAGAAATAAAACAGAACAGCCAGCATTCTGAAAAAAAAAATTTTTAAATTCAATCCAAACATATAATCAGGAAAATCTTCATAATCACTTTGTGCATGATAAATTGTCGAGTAAGACTCAATGACAACACATTAATTCAAGTGACTTCAATTTTTTATTTTTTCTTATAATCTTTAGAAGATTGGAGAAGTATCATGTAGAATATCTCCCCTCCCCTCTCCCCACCATTCCTAATCATTCAAGAAAAACTGGGATCTAGGAAATGCATTAGTAGACTATCAGTGGTATTATTATGTACAATTGGTTAAAGCACCATGCTAATAATAAGGCCAGGGTCCTAGGACTGATCATTGCGAGGGCCAATTAGTTTAAATTTGTTCCATGGACCCAGACTGCACTCCTAACCACAGACAACTTTCTTACAATGCATCCCGCTGGTCACAAGCTAGGGTACTGGCAAGGTGGTAGATGGATGAAAACAAATCTCCACTAATGAAAGAAAAAAGAAAAGAAATCCCACGTATGCTGACAGTGGGTTAACAGAGTCTTATCTGTAAAGAAAAGAACACATATTTTCTTCGCTCTATGATAAACACGTTTCAAGTCTAAAATATTCAATGACAGTAACATTTGACTCTTGCATTTTAGAATAACATTCCACATAAAGCTATAATAAAGGCCCTGATAATTGTTACCCAATTTGTGTAACTGTTAATTCCACACAGAAATTCTTTTCTCTTTACGGTTATATCTATGCACCATGATTTTTGCATATTTACCATTCGTTATTTGGTTCAGAATATTGTGAAAAATTCAGCTCGAAAATTATCCATAAAACTGTATTCTATATTTTATTTTTCAAACAGCCAGTGTCCACATTTAAAATGCAGAATTTGCAAATATTAGTCTAATAATTCAATTTAAAGTAAAGCAAAACAACTTCCTTTAGTATCACAATACATAAAATGGTTTTATAAACTCCAAATGGCAAAGATAACTATATGACAATAGTGTTGAAAGCCGTGAAACTCATTAAACCTCTTATCAATAGGTCAGTTTAAAGAACATCTCTATGTTCCATGACTATGCATGAAACAAGCTGTCACTGTATTATAAAGGCTCAGCAATTCATTCATGGCATAATATAGGGTCAAGCAAGATTTTGTTTTTACAATGACAATTAAAACATATTTAAAGAAACAAAAAACCTCCCAATTGTTTAAAAACAATTCTATTTGGAGAGCAAAATATTTTAAAATATATCGACTTACCAAATTTCAATTGTCAGGCTGCTGACTACTGATGTAAAAGTTTATATTTAAAAATATCACAAATCTCTTTTTATTTAACACTGAAAATTTCAATGTGATAAGTTTCATTGCAAAGCAACTGTCACCTGAGTAGATTTTAAAATTTAGTGCTCCTATTTTTTGGGGGAGAGGGGAAGGAAAGACCCATTTTGTATCTGATCCCGAGTTTGCAGTTGAGTCCTTCCCAATGATTTCTTAGGGAGTTGAAGAAACAACCTGCTGCAACCTTCCCAAGACACACGATGCCCCCCTTTCCCTCGGAAATTTGCTCTAGCATTTTAGGAACTCTCAGTATTCATCAAATATTTCCATTTCACTACCCACTCAAGCATAGCAACCCAATTCATTTAGTTCTATACAACAGTGTCTATATTATGTACATATTTAATTATCAATAGGAAATAGAAAATAAAAATTTACAGTGATTGAGAAAAGGTCAGAAAATGGGATAGGAATAGTAATACTGTATAATCAGAATATCCTATTATCTTACCAGTTTTAATGACAGGGTTTTTCCTTTATTAGTTGAAATACAAAGAAGGCATAGGGGATCCCAGGAAAATAACACTATATATCAGAAAATTCAACGTGCTCCACCATCAGGATTTCCATCACACACATTTAATTTCTTCTGTACAATGTTTATAAACTTGTTTTTCTTTTCAAAATCATCAGATTTTCAGATTAAATTCAGCACTACACAGTATGCCCTTGAAGTAAAATGAGGTTACCTGCTTTATTTGGATACCAAGTTCCCTTCAGACAGCATTAAAATAAAGACAAGTAAGACTACACAGATAAAATCCAGTATAATTCAAATCCAACAATGAAAAATTTCCCCCATATTGTTGCAAAATTCTTTCTACTGAAATGCTTTGCTACAATAATAAAAAGCATACATTACATATAAAAGATACCAGTGTACTAAAAAGTGACAGAAGTGGACTAGCAAATCCTTCAAAGCACATTATATAAATGACTAGCATTTAAAAACATTTTTTCCTATAAAATGTAGGTCATATACATTTATAAATTGGCGGTTTTATTTCTAAAGCAGTGATGTGTGTGTTCAAATAGCTGTCCTGTACAGTATAATATCTACTCACTTGAAACTATAATAGGTTTGTCTTTCTTTGTATTGAAGTTGAATAAATTCATCTGATCAGCTGAGAAACCAAGCTTGAAAAATAAGTATCTAAAAATCAATGTAGAAAGTTTAGAATTATTGAAATGTAGTTATGAAATATGAAGAGAACTATCTATTTCACAATGGAGCTGAAGTCACCTCAAAACTTACGGGCTTGAATCTAAAACAGAAACAAATATTAAAATCCAAAGCAAATCACAAAGTTAGGTAGCAGTACAGAAGCAGGAAAAAAAACCACATCCCTTCCTTCAGTGTGATGGGCACTAAGTTTTGCGGTCTTCCTCCATCTTGCAGAAGAGTGGTAAGGCCATTCAATGCTTAGTGAAAGTGAGTACAGATGAAGTCAGATTTAGCCTGTCTCCCCTGCAACTTCAATTATGCTGTGTAAACAGTGTTACGTTCCAATAGGAGGAACAATGGAATTTGCTTATAAAAACTGATTAAAGATAATCATTATTAAATGAAATAAGGATAATTAATAACTCTGAAATGTTTTTAGAACTTTCCTGATGCTACTTGTAAAGTTAGCACTGCTATGTATTATTGCTTACATACAGTACAACATCATATGCCTTCTAACATAAAGCAGTACTGTGATTTGTTTGTACATATTTACAGATTCTTAAAAACAAGCTGTAAAAACATTACATACTTTCAGACAATACAAATTAGCACATTGGTACTCACTTCAAAACAAATGGAATGCATAACATTAATAAACATCATAAAGGAAGACTCACATAAAAGTCCTTGATTGTCAAGACACGTTTATATATAAACTCTAACTGTGCAGAATTAAAGATTCAATCATAGGTACATCCTTATTTGATGAACCATATTTACAGCATGGTATTGCATAAAAAAATAAAATAATGTTTACAGGGTTTTACTTTTTTATCCATTGGATTAAAGAAAGCAACAAACATAACAAGAAATGTTTGTCTGCTTTAGTTTGTTTCCTACCAAAGTTTAAGTGAAAAAAGGAAACACGGTTTTTATTTGCAGAATATAGCAAAACAACTGGAAAATTATTTCCCTGAAATAAAGCAATTTGAAACGGAAAATTAAATTAAATTTCAGACTCAAAATACTTCTCAATGATTATTATAGTGCTTCTTCAAGTAAATATACTGTGAAAAAAAAATGAGTTCTAGTTTAAAATGTTCTAAGAAATGCAGTACTACAGTAATGCCTACTTTTAAAGTTTCCCGGCCTTTTTTTTTTTTTTTTAAACAGCCCTTTAAAAACCCAAATTAATCAAATGAAAGAAGCGGCAAAAGATCTAACCTAGCTGGCACTCTGCAAGTGTCTCTCCTCTGTGGAAACGAAATCCTGCCCTGAGCACAATTCTTGACATAACTGCCTTCTGCCTCTTGAGATAAAAATGACCTGACCGATGGCTGGCACCCTCAGCCAGAGCTAAGAAGATGGATTCCTACCTTGTTAAGTACCACATTTGCATGTAGACCCAAAACGTTTAAGAGCCACTTAAATATTCAAGACAAATGAAATATGTGAGAATAAGGTTTTAAAAAACCCTTTAGAAGATGTTCAAGAGATACTGCCTCGCCTAACGTGATGTTTCCAATCTTCAAACGTGAGTAGGTCCCAAGAGGAAAAGCACACCTCACTCAGATTGATCAAAAGTTTAAGGGTGTACCAGCATGTTTTTATAGAACAATGTGCTCACTTTGAGAAATGAGAAACATGAATTGCAGAAGAATATCTCATATCCTCCATGTTTCAATCTGAAGCAGCACACAAGGCTACTTATTTTCTCCATTAATGCCCAGATAGAAATTAAATAACCTTCTGAACCAAAGTGGGGAAATCCAAAACTGTTGAGATGTTTGTCATATTATGATAGAACAAGGTAACTCTGGTAGGCATTTGGAATTTCACAGTAAGAGAGTGATGACTATACGTAAATGGTAAGTCAATAAGTTATGCTGGCTGAGTATCACTTATCTAAAAACTGCTTATAACCTGGTAGAAAAGTCTGCCATTATGTAGATTTAAAGAAATGTGTTGAAAACAGGAATGCAACACCTGAAAGTCTGCTTGCATAACTACCATTTTCAAAGGCCTTCCTTCCCAAGCTCACCCTAAATGCTCAGCAAGAGTCACATTCTAAAAACTATGCTGGTGATGTTAAAACAACCGAAAAAAACCTCTCCACTGTATCAAAATTGCATCAAGTTCTCCATGAACAAAATTTTTGATCAGGCTCCAAAACAACTCAAGAAATAAATGCCTACTCTCACCAAAAGAGAAAAATACCAATGCCTATTTAGGGTGAGCACAGTTCCATTTTTAACGTATCACCTGAATGAAGCCTTTTTGTAATTATGTAATGCACAACACAACACACACAATCTTAAGAGTCAATAATGGCAGAACTTAAATATTTACTTCAAAGAAGTCTTAAATTCTTGAAAACTTTGGCAGCAAAGAAAGCTGTCAAACGGGAAAACTACTATTTCAAGCAAAACTTAATAACCAAAGTATACAGGAAACCACATTAAATATAATTTATATTCCTTATCATAAAAACACCAATATATTCAAAATAAATGAAGGATGTTAAGGGTGGATAGTTATTTCTTCCCTTTCTTTATGAGAACAGTCTTGGGATAACATTAAATAAAAGAAAAAATAATTTAAATGGATAACATATTCTATATTGAAACAAAGACTGCAGAGCTATAGGGCCAGTATAAGAGTCAAAATGGAAATTAAGAATATTTTCATTTTCCAAGGGTATTAATTTTAGATTTTCACTGGTGCTATATCAGGATGTGCATTGTGACAACGATGGCAGAAAATTTAAAATGTAAAAATGAAAAAGTTGTAACAAAGAGTCAATAACTAATATAACTTCCAAAAATCAAAACTGCCCAACGCATAACTCAAACCATCATTCTTCAGAAAAGTGTGTGTGTGTATATATACATAAAAGCACTATTTATTGTACCATGCTGTATTATTTTAAGACAGAGTATTAAAAAAAAACATTCATGGTATAAGGATAAAGTCTGTAGTTTATTTAGATTTTGAAATGCAACAAAAATTTTCCGATCACTCATCTAGCTGAAAAAGAAATGGTAGTTACTGGAATTAGTAAACACTTTTGGTTTGTAAAGTTGTAATGAGCAGTGTTCATTAAAAAGTAACTCAAGATAAAATATGCAATTAAAATGCCCATTTCTTTAGTTTCTCTGGATACTGTTTAATTATCCAATCTATCAAGAGTCTAGAAAGAAAAAGATTAAACCAGGTTTTACAGTTCCAAAGATATCCCAATTTCCTTTTATTGCCAAAAGTTAAAATTGTCAATTACGAGATGATTATGACACAACCATATCAAACCTAAAAATCTAATTTTTTTTTTACTTTGAGAAATCAAAAATACCAAATAGATTCTAAGTGCTCTATGTTAACTGAAGTGTATATGTAAAGTAAAATACAATTAAGCTTTAAAACGTGGAATATACATTTTGTGTAAGCATTATGTTCTTGGGAATGTAATCTACAGAATTTCTTTTACTAAAACTTCAAAACCTTGATACCTGCACATGAAAAATCATAAAAAATATCTAAGTACAACTGTACAAAGAAACTGACACCAATATGCATACTTCCATAGAGAAGTGACTGCTTCAACAGTTGTGTGTTTTGGTAAAAGTTCTGAAAGTATGCATATTTTTAAAGTAATTAGGCTTTTAAATAGTGGAGTCTTAGACTATCAGATTTTTATTACTTTTTTTCCTTCAAAAAAACACGTCAATATAATGCAAAATGAAAATCAAGGGTATATGGCATATCATTCTTTTTAAAAGGTGGTTTCTTGGTTTTTTTCCCCCTATAGGACACACTAATTTATTTAAGCCATAATCTCTTGACATTAAACTTTTAAGTTCACTCTGTCTGTAAAGTATACTCAGATTCCCTGCTGAAGTGCAATGACTATGCTGAAAAACTTAGAAACAGTATGAGTAAATTTCACACAATTACTAATCTCCTAAGAATGTACAATGTTATCAGTTAGGAAACAATTGTGCGAAAGTCTTTTTTTTTTCCTTTTTAACTTGGTGTGGGTGGAATAGCAAGTTTCTGATCTAAAACAAGTAATGCATTGCTTCTATAAAGGTGACAACATGTAAGGCAGTTCAAAGAATGCTGACTAACCAAACGAAATGCAGTTATTGGATTATCTTGCTATTCATATCAGCTTAACTTGTTATTACGCATTGCTCTTAAATCTGTACAGCACTCCATTTACACAGAGTAACCCCACTCTTGATTAATCTGTTCTAAAGTGCCAGTATTATTTACACTTTTTTTTTTTTTTTAGCCAAAAGTCTGGCCAGTTGTGGCATCAGGTGAAGATGTCATCCCAGCTCTATTATCATTTACATTCACCAAGGGAAATTCTGAAAATTCAGCACTTGTCCCTGGTCCCCGAAGGTTCACCTGTCCATTGGCAGTGCTAAATTGAGTAGCTATTCCAGCTCTTGATCCATGATAGGGAGCACGGAAGGGCTGTTCAAAGGAGCTCATTTGGTAAGCTTGGTGGACAGGCTGGGCCTCAGCTTTCTTCTGAGAAGTCACTTGATCCAGAAAGTCCTGTGTTGATGTGGCAGAAGCATGGTTTGTCTCATCACCTGAAAAGGGAAATGAGTGCTGTGAATCACCAACTATTAGTCCAAAGTGGGACTTATCTGGAGTTGTTCTTAGTGGAGAATTCATTCCTGATCGAAAGCTATTGATGGGCATGGTGGCATAGACCTGCTTGTCTATGGAAGAGAATGCTGGCTGATTTGGGAGGGTCTGGTTATCAGTCACAAAGTTAAGGCTCGGGCTATTCAAATAGGCATCATTTTGGCTAGTTCTGTCCAAAGCCTGCTGCAGAAACTTGGAGTATTCCTGCAACATGTTGGCTTTATCTGATGAGGATGCTTGGGAGCTTGATCCAACATTCTCTGACGGGGTGACCTCTGGTACTTCTGAAGAATTTATTGATATGCTAGAAGTCACTTCAGTATCTGCAACACTGAAGGATATCTCATGCTGTCCATTAGCTTTGTGGGAATAATGATCCAACAGAGTCTGCAGTACCTCATCTGGAATAACATTTTTGTCATGATTACTCTTAATCTCCACATTCAGTGCCTGTGACTCTAATATGGATGCCGTGGTACTTTCATCAATGACACTTGCCACAGCTGCTTGTGTTACAGAAGGCTGAGAAGCTATGGTACCCACATTCAGCGCATATTCCCTGCTGTTGTTACTTGCTGCTTGAAGATACCGCTTCTTCTTCAAAAACTGCATGGCATCATCATAATTAGTACTACTATGCACAGGTTTACTGGGCCCCTCCTGCAAATTATCAACCTGATCAATGTCAGCATTGCCTTCTGAGTCCAGTAAAGCCTGTTTATCCACAAGTTCAAAAGCATACTTTGAAACTTTGCTCTCTTCATATGTGGATAAAGGTGAAATTGTTTGATTTTGCTCCAGTGGCTGTTTCAGACTTCTCTTACTATTAATTTTTTTGAGAACTAACTTAGGTGGGTGTATTTCTCCTGACGCATCTTCTAAATGCGAGCCCCCAACTGACGAATGTGGCATTTCAACAGCATATTCTGCAACCATATACTCATCTTTTACTTTAGTACTTGAAGAATAAAGAGGCAAGTAATCATTTTTGTCTTTTTTCAGGTCAGATTTGTCCAAAGCACTCTCTTTGTCCATTCCAGATGATTTTTTCTCCGTTTTCTGCCTTTTCTTTTTTGGCAGTGAGTTGTCTTTTGGTGATGTAGAAAAGCCAGAATCTTCCTCAGATGTCAGAAGGCCACCTTTGATGGCACATCTATTTAGTTTTTTGTCATGATTTTCATGGCACATACGTTTATGTTTCAATACACGATCTGTTCTGGAAAAATACTGTTGAATTCAGAGGATGGTAGTGGGTTGTTTGTGGTTTTGGTCAACCAAGAAAAGAAAAAGTGAAACAAAACAATTAATATAAAGATATATTAATGCAATAACATACATAATTCCAAACAAATTCACTGAGCCAATTTTCTATTATAAATCTAATCTGTAAGAGTTAGAAGGCCCCTTAAATAGCTCTAAGTTGTAATATTTTCTAATCTAATTTATAATTATTGTATAATTTAATTACAGTAGAAGAATTTCAAGCCATCTCTCTTACCTGTAAACAGTATTCACACTGGTAAGGTTTTTCTCCACTATGAGTTCTCTTATGCCTTTCCATATGATATTTTTGTATGAATCTCATACCACATTCATCACAGCGAAATGGTTTTTCACCTAGCACATAATATAGAAAGTTTAAAACAAAACAAATATTGTAAAATAATGAATTGCTTTGCCATAAGAATCTCTAAAATAAATGGCTTTTGAAAGTTGTAACTTCCAATTTCATTTGTCAAATATATTTTGCTTTATAAAAATGAAAAGGATTAGCATATGCTATTGGAAAGAAAAGGATGAATACAGGCACAGTCCATTTTCCTGTCTTTTTGTTATGTGCGTATGTAATACCCTCTTTCCAAGGAGAACAGCAGTGCCAGGAATTTATAGCAATATGAACAGACTAGCTGATGTTTCTAATCTTTTTTTCAATCATATAAAATATTGTATAACAGTAAAAAACAAAAAGTTACCCATGCACAATACAACACAATTCCTGGAGACAGTTTTTTAACTCAATTCCTTTTTTAAAACATTTGTGGTTAAATAAAATCTGAATCCTGAAAATATCCTTTAAAATCTAATTTAATAAAATACAAAAAGAACTTAGAGTCTTAAGTTTGTTTATATTTATTCTTTTCCTCAACTCAAGCCAGCACTTCCCATATCATTTAGGGAATGAATTAAACTGAGTATTGTTAATTGGACACATAACACATAACCCCCATTTTTGAAAATCCCCTAATGACTCCTAGAATCTTCTGATTCATAGTCAGGTGTGTTATCCATTGTGCCACTGGCCCCCGCAATGATTTCTAAGCTGTAAAGAACCACTACTATGAAGCTCTAAAATAGTTTTTACTGATAAAACCACAGTCTAAGTAAACAGAAGGGTATGACAAGAAGTTACCTTGAATAATGCTTGTTGGGGAAACTACTGTTTCTCCCTTTCATACATTTAACAAAATTTTTACCAAATACTACTACTATATCCAAACCCCTTGTTGTAGGAGGTTAAAAGTATAAGACATACTACTTGTCTTCAAAGTTTATAACATAATTGGGAAAACAAGATACACACATTTTAAAAAGACAACTAACAACACTATGTCTATTCTGATTTACTTTTACATCTTTATATTTCACTCTTTCTCTTGGTAACCCTTTCAGACAAACCGAAATACCTACCATCTCATGCTTTCCTACTTTTGCCCTGATTCACGCTGCTCCTTCGATTGGGAATGTCCACCTTTGGGTGTTCAAATACTATATTCCCTTTGAGACCCAACCCATCTCCTTTGGGATACTCTGTCCTTTTCTCCCAGGTGAAAGGTATCTTTAAGTTTCCACAGAATTCTATCTGTACCTCTTCTATGGCACTCAGTACTTTCAACTCAATAATCATTGAGTTAAACTTTTTTTAAATTTCAAATTACTGAGTTGTTTACTGCTGCACTATTCACAATAGCAAAGACTTGGAACCAACCCAAATGTCCAACAACGATAGACTGGATTAAGAAAATGTGGCACATATACACCATGGAATACTATGCAGCCATAAAAAAGGATGAGTTCATGTCCTTTGTAGGGACATGGATGAAGCTGGAAACCATCATTCTCAGCAAACTATCACAAGGACAAAAAACCAAACACTGCATGTTCTCACTCATAGGTGGGAATTGAACAATGAGAACACCTGGACAGAGGAAGGGGAACATCATAAACCGGGGACTGTTGTGGGGTGGGGGGAGGGGGGAGGGATAGCATTAGGAGATATATCTAATGTAAATGACGAGTTAATGGGTGCAGCACACCAACATGGCACATGTATACATATGTAACAAACCTGCACATTGTGCACATGTATCCTAAAACTTAAAGTATTAAAAAAAAAGAAATAATTATATTTAATTATTTTGCATATCTCTATTCTTCTACTAGATTATATTTCTTTAGGTCAGAATCCAGGCCTAAATTATACTGATGTAGTTCAAAGTACCTTACACAATTAAAAAAAAATTTTTTTCTTGTACAGATGGGATCTCACTATGTTGCCCAAGGCCTGTCTTGAACTCCAGGCTCAAGCAATCCTCCTCCTGCCTTGCCCTCACAGAGTGTTGGGGTTACAGGCATGAGCCACTGCGCCTTGCCCCTTGTGATAATTTTAAGTGCCAAATGAAAGGCATAAATAGTGACCATTACAGTGGATTATTAAGGGGAAAATGTTACTATGAGCTAGTATGATTTGGAATGGTTTCTTAGAAGTGTTGAAATTTAAGCTGAGTAGCAGAGAGATTAAAGCCAAGGGGAAAAAAATGTTGGGGGTGGGGAGGGAAATAACAGTACTCTAAGTGTTTAGATACTATAAAATGTGCAGGAGAAATGGTGTCTAAGAAGAGAATTTAATTTGGCCACAAGTAAATTGTTTAAAACTTTCAGGAATGTAACTTCAGTAATTACTGCAGAGCTACCAAATTTTAGAGCTGAAGCGTTTCCCGTGGCTTTTGAGCTGTGCTCTTTCAAGCTCGAGAGGCCCACACGGACGGCTGCTGATGTGGCAACAGGCTCAAAGCTTGCCACTCAAAATTAGTACAGAATAGCTCACTTGTATACAATGGGGCTCCAAGTAAGGGTTCCAAAGATTCAGACTAGAAAGACAGCTTACTACAATGAATCCAGACCAATTCACTCATTTTACAGAAAGGAAATATTGAAGGCCGAAAAGTTAAGGCACTTGGTCAAGGGGTAATGAATGCATTAACTAATGAAGCAATGGAAGCTGGGAGAGAAAGTCACTTATAAAGGAAGTTTGGAAGTGAAAGAAATGAGAAGATGGAGATGGGAAATAATAGTTAAGAGGCAATCCATTCCAGAATAAGCACTGTTTAGGACAGGGAGACTGAATTGACTGAAGGCAGAGGAGCCAGTGAAGAGAAACTGATTATCAATACTGAATACCGCCGAAATGGTGCACAATCAAAAGAACAAAATCCAGAGGAACCAAGATGGGAAGGGAAGGAGATTACAGGCAATGTTGTTGGACAGGGGAAGAAAGAATACGTGCAAATTTTGAAATAGAGCTGGTAAAGCTGGGTGCAGTGGCTCATGCCTGTAATCCCAGCACTTTGGGAGGCTGTGGTGGGTGAACTGCTTGAGCTCAGGAGTTCAAGACCAGCTTGGGCAACATGGGGAAACCTGTTTCTACTAAAAATACAAAAATTTAGCCATGTGTGATGGTGTGCACTTATGGTTCCAGCTACTCGGGAGGCTGAGGTGGAAGGATCGTTCAAGCCTGGGAGGTGAAGGTTGTAGAGAGCCAAGATCGAGCCACTGTTCTCCAACCTGGGTGACAGAGTGAGACCCCATCTCAAAAAAAATTAAACTAAATTTAAAAAAGAATGTAGATGATAGAGCTCATTAACGTCAGAAGTTACAGTTATTTATCAAAAGTGATAATGAAAGAGAAAAATCAGTAAGTTGATTACAATTCAATTAATTCTATATATTTGTGGATTGGAAGACTTAACATTAAGATGGCAAAACTCCTCAAACTGATCTACAGATTTAAAACAGAAATTGACGAACTAATCTTAAAATTCGCATCTAAAAGAGCCAAAACTATCTTGAAAAAGAAGAATGAAGCAGGAGGACTTATACTTCCAGATTTCAAAATTTACTACAAAACCACAATAACCAAGATATTGTGATAATAGCTTAAGGACAAGACATACATATCAAGGAATAAAATTCAGAGTCCAAAAGTAAATCCTTACATTTATGGTCAACTGATTTTCTAAAAAGGTGCCAAGGTAATGGGGAAAGAATAGTCTTTTCAACAAATTTGATACCCACATACAAAAGAATGAAGTTAGACCCCCCCCAACCAACTCCCACACCTCTCACATCATAAACAAAAGTTAACTGAAAATGGATTACAGGCCTAAGTGTGAGACCTAAAACTATAAAAATGGTAGAATATAATATAGGAATAAATCCTTATGACCTTAGTTAGGCAATGGTTTCCTATATAAAATCAAAAGCAGCACAAGCAAACAAAAAATAAATAAATTGGACTTAATCAAAATTTAAAACTTTCATGCTTCAAAGGACACTATCAAAAAAATGAAAAGATAGGCCAGGCACTGTGGCTCACACCTGTAATCTCAACACTTTGGGAGGCAGAGGCGGGTGGATCACTTGAGGTCAGGAGTTCAAGACCGGTCTGGCCAACATGGTGAAACCCTGTCTCTACTAAAAATACAAAAATTAGCCAGGCATGGTGGCACACTCCTGTAATCCCAGCTACTCAGGAGGCTGAGGCAGGAGAATCACTTGAACCTGGGAAGCAGAGGTTGCAGTGAGCCGAGATCACACCACTGTACTCTAGTCTGGGCGACAGAAAAAGACTCTGTCTAAAGGAAAAAAAACGCACACACAAATGAAATGACATTTAGGAAATATGTCTGCTGTTGGGACTGAGGAAGAGTTTGGCACTTCCTCGAAAAGTTTAACAGAATTATCACATGACCCAGCAATTCCATTCCTAGGTACATATCTAAAAGAATTGAAAACATGGATTCAAACAGATGCTTGTATGCCAACACTGATCACAGAATTATTCAAAATAGACAAAAGGCAGAAGTAACCCAAGTGTCCATCAACAGATGAATGGATAGAAATATGTGACACATACAAAGAATGAAGTATTATTCACCTAGAAAAATGAAATTATGATACATACTACAACATGAGTGAATCTTGAAGACATTACGCTAAATGTAGAAGCCAGATACAAAAGGGCAAATGTGGAATGATTCTGCTTATATGCGGTATCTAGAACAGGAAAATTCAGAGTGATAGAAAGTAGAACAGTGGTTATCAGGACTGAAGAAGAGGGGAAAAGAGAGTTATTGCTTAATGGGTACAGAGTTTCTATTCGGTTACACAACATTATATATGTACTTAATGTCACTGAATTGCACACTTATGATAAACTTCATGGTATGGTTGTAAAAAAGTGAAGACATAACTCCAGAATGGAATAAAAAATATTTACAAATCATGTATCAGATAAGGAACGTGTATCCAGAATATAAAGAGAACTCTTACAACTCAATGGGAAACACACAACTAATTTAAAAATAGGCAATGGATCTGAATGCGCATTTCTCCAAAGAAGATATACAAATGACCAATCAGCACATGAAAAGATGCTCACCATCATGATCATCAGGGAAATATAAATCAAAACCACAAGATTTCACTTGATTTCACCACTTCACACCCACGAGGATGGCTAAAATAATAATAACAAAAGCATGGATGTAGAGAATTGAAACCCTCATACAAGGCTGGTAGAACTGTAAAATGGTATTAAGTGCTTTGGAAAACAGTTTTGCAGACCATGAAAATGTTAAATATGACCCAGCAATTTCACCCCTAAGCACATACCCAAGACAACTAAAAATGTGAAGTTCACACAAAAACTCATGCACAAGTATTCATAGCGGCATTATTCACAATGGCCAAAAGAGGAAACGGCCCAAATGTCCCTCAACCAATAAGTGAATGAAAATGTGACATATCCAACTATAAAAATGGAATGGAATATTACTCAACTATAAAAAGAAAGAAAGTGCAGGCTACACACATGCCCCAAATAGGCAAATCCACAGTGACAGAAAGTGATTAATGGTGACCCAGGGCTGGAAGGGAGTGGAGAATGGGGAGTGACTACTAACAGGTATAGGTTTTCTTCTGGGGGGTGACAAAAATATTCTAAACACCAGATAGTGGTGATAGTTGTACAACTCTGTGAACATACTAAAAACTAATGAATTATACATTTTAAATGGGTGGGTTTTCTGAAATTGTGAATTATATCTCAGTAACGTTATTTTTAAATATGCATGGTAATACAATTGATACTATGCAAAGTGAGAAGTTATTTTTTTCCCTCAAGGAGCTCAAGATTAATTAAAAAGAAATTAACTGGAGAAAGCCGAGTGCAGCGCCTCACGTCTGTCATCTCAGCACTTTGGGAGGATGAGGCAGGCGGATCACTTAAAGCCAGGAGTTCAAGACCAGCCTGGCTAACATGGCGAAACACCCCCAAGCCACCGTCTCTGAATGAATAAATACACACATACATACACAAACTGGAGAAAACCCATGTTTAAATTACTTGCTACATTCTAATAGATGAACCAATAATTAACAGTTTATTTAACTAAAAGCAACACTACGGCATTTCCTTTAACAAAAAAGTCAACCAGGTGTGCTGCCTCAAGCCACTGATCCCAGCACTTCGAGAGGTTCAGGCGGGAGGATCACTTGAGTCTAGAAGTTCAGGACCAGTCTGGGTGACACAGTGGACCCTGTATCTACAAAAAATTTTTTAAAATTAGCAGGGTGTGGTGGCACATGTCTGTGGTCCCAGCTACTCAGAGGTGCAGGCAGCAGGATTACTTGAGCCTGGGAGGTTGAGGCTGCAGTGAGCTGTGATTGCGCCACTGCATTCCAGCCTGGGTGACAAGTGCAAGATCCTGTCTGCAAAAAAAAAAAAAAACCAAAAACCAAAAACCAAAACAAAACCAGAAACATTAACGCCTTAAAAGTAATTTGTACAAATGTTCTTTTGTTGCTAAAAACAATCCTCCTCCCAACTAAATAGAGCAATTATGATGGCTAACTCAGTCAAAAATGAATGCAAACATAAATTCACCTTCCATGGTCATTTATTATTTTTTGATTGGTTCTCATTTTTTATTCCTGTCTCTTGTTCTCCTTTAGTACATATTTCCTTCCTTTTTTACTGTACCATCTTTTTTCATATCCCTTTTCCTCCCTCCCATTCTTATACTCATCTCCATTCCTTTCTTTTAAAACTAGCCATTCTAGATATTTTTAAAATTTAAGTTTTGCCACTTAAGGATCCCTATTTATGGATTAGGGAATGTATTTACAGAGTTAAAAAAAAATCAAAACACTTAAAAAGAGTATACAGGAAAATGTCTTCCTCCTATCTTTGGCCCCGACAAAGGTAACTACATTTATTTGTTTGTGCGAGTTTCTTTACAGAGTTTCTTTCTTTTTTCTTTCTTTCTTTTTTTTTTTTTTTAAAGACAGGGTCTCGCTATATTGCCTAGGCTGGTCTCGAATTCAGGGACTCAAGTGATATTCCCACCTTCTGAGTAGCTGGGATTACAGGCATGCACCTGGCCAGGTTTCTTGACACAACATAAGTAAAAATGAATACATAATCTTTTCTACTTTTCCCTCATTCTTTTACAAAGATAGCATATTTAATTCACTGTTCTTATCTTTTCTTTTTCCTTCAGTCAACAATGTATTTTGGAGATCTTAGCAGCAGAAAGAGAATTAGCTCATTCTTTCTGACAGCGGATGTTATTTATTTTTCACTGATGGAAAGACATACTACAATTTATTTAATCAATCCTCTATCATTTCCCAACATTTGCTATTATGATTTTGTACTGGATAACTTGTAAATGTATTAATTCACATATATGCAGGTATATTTGTGGAATAAACACTCATAAAAAGAATTTCTGGACAAATAAAACATATGTTCATGATTTTGAAATGTATTACTAAACTGGTCTCCACAGGAAATGCTATGAATCTGTACTCCCATACCAGCCATGGATGTGTTACTATTTCCCTATAACTCACTATGTTGTCAAACTTTCTGATGACTACATATCTAATAGGTGAAAAAACATTATCTCAGCAGGAGGTGGATGGAGCCATCTTATATTTCATCTTCTGCGAACTGTCTGCTCGTATCTTCCACCTACTTTTTTGTAGTTCCAGGTTTTTTGCTTGATGACTTGAAATAGCTTTATTAAGAAGGTTGGTCTTTTGTCTATAATGAGTTTCAGGATTTTTTCCTGGCCTTTCCCCTGCCCTTGAATGGTAGGGGTAGAGTTGTTTGCTAGTAGAGATTTTCATTTTTATGTAGTTGAATGTATCAATCTTTTCTTTTATGGATACTGGATTTTGAGTGTTATTTAGAAAAGACTTCTCCACTCCGATCTGCTCATATTTTCAGACACATAAGTTTAAACTGTTAAGTTTCATTTTTTACATTAAATCTCTCATATGGCCGGGTGCAGTGGCTCATGCCTATAATCCCAGCACTCTTGGAGGCCGAGGCAGGTGGATCACCTGAGGTCAGGAGTTTGAGACCAGCTTGGCCAACATGACAAAATTTCCCGTCTCTACTAAAAATACAAAACTTAGCCAAGCGTGGTGGCACACGCCTAATCCCAGCTACTTGGGAGGCTGAAGCAGGAGAATTGCTTGAATCTGGTGTCGGGGAGCAGGCAGAGGTTACAGTGAGCCGAGACTGCGCCACTGCACTCCAGCCTGGCAAAGGGGTGAGACTCTTGTCTCAAAAACAAAAACAAAAAAAACAAAAATGAAAAACAAATCCTCATATATTTGGAGCTTATCTTGAGGCAGAATGTGAGGTATGGACAAAACTTTTGTTTTTTCAGATGGCTATCCAGTTTCCCCAACACCATTTGTTGAAAAGTTCAGCTTTTCTTGATCACACTTACCATTCCTTTATCATAATCACACACTAATTAAGTTCCATGGGTCTATCCCTAGACCTGCTCATCTGTTCCACTAGTGTGACTGTTCATAAGCCAGAACCAAAATGTTTCAATTCATAAGCCTTTATAATATCCTTTATTGTTGGTAAGGCTAATCTTCCTCATTGCTTTTTCTGCATTCTTCTCGTTTGTCCTGCTGGACCACTTTCCATATAAATTTCAGAATTAGCTTATCTAGAATTAGAGGGAGGAGAGTTCTCTGAAGTGTTTATGTTAACTTATGAACAATTTGATATTATTTACCATGTTTACTCTTTTCACCTAGGAAGAAAAAAGATACGCCTTCCCATTTCACAAACCTTTGTATCCTCCGTAGTGCTTTGAATGATTTCCTCATATGGGATTTTCTACATCTTCTTAAATTCATTCCTGGGCTTGTCTTCTCATTGATATTGTGAAAAGAGTGTTTTCTTCTGTTATATCTTCTATTCCCTGCGTATGTGTGTGTGGCTATACAAAGGGTATGGTTTTCTGCTATTTTAATGAATTTACTTATTTGCAGTAATTTTTCAGTTGAACCTCTTGGGTTTTCCAAGTTTATAATCATATTGCTTGCAGAAAATATTTTTTAACTTATTTTTCTCATCCACTATTCTCAAACAATTAAAAAGAAGTAGTGATAATGGGCTCTACATCTTATTCCTGATGTGTGTACTTTCGTATGTTTCTGATTCTTTTTTTTGAAGAGCAGGGTCTCACTCTGGCACCCAGGCTGGAGTGGAGTGACACAATCATAGCTCACTGCAGCCGTGAACTCCTGGGCTCAAGTGATCCTCCCCAACTTCAGCCTCCCAAGTAGCCAGGACCACAGGCATGCACCACCATGCCCAGCTAATTAAGAAAATTTTTTTTATAGAGACAGGGTCTTGTTACGGTGTCCAGACTGGTCTCGAATTCCTGGCCTCAAGTGATCCTCCCAACTCAGCCTCCCAAAGTATTGTGATTACAGACATGAACTACCACGTCTGACCTGTTTCTTGATTCTTGAAATAAGAATAAAATGACTGATATCTATTTTTCCTGAGAAAAATAAAAACACTTAAATGAAAAATTCCCTTATTGAGAAAATCCCTTTATCATTTTTCCCCTTGAGGGCTAAAGCCTCTCTACTGGAAAAGGAAGATAAATCTATACAGCACTTGAGTGATTTCAAGAATGACACAAAAAGCTTATCTGAAAAGTATCAAGAAATTTTAAATGTTTTTTACATCCAGGAAAGCAATAACACGGTAAGGAAAAAAACAATCTCCAGGTGTCCCACAAAATGATAATTTTCCCCTACCCAAGGGCCCTAAAGTTTCTCTTCTAACAGTTTTCCAGTGAGACTGTTTCCCCAATGTGATGTTTCTCCCTGGTAACTCTGACATTGCACACAATCAGCTGTTTATGGATAAAAATTTTTACTATAATATATGGGTAACTGTTAAGGTAAACTATATATGAGAGAGTTATAAAGACATAAGATTTATGTATAATCTAGCTCACTATGGTTTGACATACTAATCTGATTTTTGGCAACTGCAAACCTTCCTTTCCCTCTTCAAACCATTCCATCCGGCTGCTGCAATGACCCACCATATCAAAATGGTTCTTGTAAATCACACTCAGGTCACCAATACAACCAAGTCTCTTCAGAAATCTTTTTTGTTTTTTTTTTTCTGAGACGGAGTTTCGCTCTTGTCCCCCAGGCTGGAGGACAATGGTGCCATCTCGGCTCACTGCAACCTCCACCTCCCTGGTTTAAGTGATTCTCCTGCCTCAGCCTCCTGAGTAGCTGGCATTACAGGCATGCACCACCATGCCCAGCTTATTTTTGTATTACTAGTAGAGATGGGGTTTCACCATGTTGGCCAGGCTGGTCTTGAACTCCTGACCTCAAGTGATCTACCCGCCTTGCCCTCCCAAAGTGCTGGGATTACAGGCATGAGCCATCGCACCTGGCCCAGAAATCTTACTAGTCCTCTCAACAAGCATTCAACTCAAAGTGATCCCTTTCTTTTTCTTGAAACTCACTTTTGCCTTGGCATCTATGACATCCATACTCCTTCAACCTCTCCAACTGCTCCTTCTCAGTGGTCTTTCCAGCTCACCCTCTTCCTTCCAAATGTGAAATGTTTTAGTTCTTCAAAACAAGCTTTCTGCTTATCTCATTCTATATTTTTCTCTTTGGCATGAAGGGAAGCCCATCTATCCATAGCTTTAATTACTCTCAAGATCTCCAAAACCACATATCCAAACTGCTTATGTAATATATCCACTTCTGTAACACTTAAGGATCTCAAATACATCATATCCCACAATAAACTTAGGGACTGTGACATGGTTTGGCTCTGTTCCGCACCCAAATTTCATCTCAAATTGTAATCCCCATAATCCCCATGTGTCAAAGAGGGACCAGGTGAGAGGTGACTGGATCATGGGGGCATTTCCCCTCATGCCGTTCTCCTGATAGTGAGTTCTCACGAGATCTGACTGCTTTCTAAAACAATTTTCCTGCTCTTGCTCGCTTTCTCTCACCTGCCACCACGTAAGACTTGCCTCTTCCCCTTCCACCATGATTGCAAGTTTCCTGATGCCTCCCCAGCCATGTGGAACTGTGAGTCAATTAAACCTCTTTTCTTTATAAATTACCAGTCTTGGGTATGTCCTTACAGCAATGTGAGAATGGACTAATACAATCTTCAACTTACAGCTTATGCCACAAATGGCACTCCTCTCCCCTCTAAACTGCACAAATGAGAGAACTGTACAGCTTTTTTCTTCTTTATCCTCTCTCCATATTTGGACAATTGACAGGCCCTACTGATTCAGCCTACTAAATACCTATCAAATCTGTTCACTTCTCTCCACTTCCCACTGTCATCACCCAAAGGTCAAGACACCATCATCCTGTGGTCTAGCCTATCACATAATATCCTCCTAAGGAGTAGTTTCTCTGGGATCTATTATCTTCTTCTAATTCCACATTACAGCCAGCCTCTGTTTATTTAAGTAAATCTGATCATGTTTAAAGCATACTATTGGTCTTCTGCTGTTCTAAGAATAAAAATTAAAACAGGGTCCTCTATTCTTCTGGCCCCTACCTTTCTTGTGTCTGACCTGTCTTCGCAATTCCCCACTCTGCTTTCTGAGCTCTAATCAAAGTGGCTTTCTTTCTATTCCTAAACTACCATGCTTTTTTCTTACCTCCATAATCATTTTCTGCTGATTTTTTTCTACAAAACTTCCCCAAATCAATTCTTTGTTATGACAGCAAATGTAAAGCACTTAATACTCAAAAAATGGTATCCACTGTTGTATTAATCAGAATATATGTGAAAATTATTTTAATAATAAAGGGTCTTCATAAAATCTGGGTGAAAAATAATGATGAGACTATGACAAAGTTAACATGGCATAATAAACACACTTGACAACACAAGGAAACATCCATATTTAATAAATTACAAAGGGTAGACAATAAAATTTTCAAGCATCATAACTATTACACTAACCAAAAAAAGATCATGTACCATTATGTGATGCAACATAAAATAGTACTTAAGAGTACAGGTTCTACAGCCAGATGAGCTGAGTTTTAATGCTGGTCTCAGCATTTCTTACTGTGAGAAATAAGCATGTATTTAAACTTCTACGACTTTATATTCTCATCTGCAAAATGGAAATAATAGAATATACCTCAGAGCCAAATGTTAAATGAGATAATTAATGTGAAGTAGGAATTTAAGAAAGAAGCCTAGCACAGTAGTATAACAGCTCAAAAAATGTTAGCTATTAAGAACAGGAATGAGGAGGTTGATAACAAATGATTACTTACATATTGATTATACGTACATACTGATTATAATTATAACCATACTTACATATTGATTATAATTATAACCCAGTGTCTGGGCTATATATCCTAAATGAAAATATCCTTAAGCTGAACAATAAACTTGAGAAAAGGTGAAACAATGACAATTACTAAAATAAATCCATGGACTAATAACTACATACCCAATAATTTTCCTTAAAACTTTAGAAAATATCAGAATATCTTTGGCATATAGTGCTTCCAGGAGGTTGGAAAGATCATTTATCAGGCTAAGTAGAACCCATATACTATGCAGGAAATTACATCCTATAGGAAATCATCTGAGACTAAATTACAACCAATGAAGTAGAATATAAAAACTGAGAAGCTGCAACACTAACACAAAGACATGTCAATGTCAGTTAAATC
The DNA here is from genome assembly GCF_000001405.40 of Homo sapiens. Taxonomy (NCBI): domain Eukaryota; kingdom Metazoa; phylum Chordata; class Mammalia; order Primates; family Hominidae; genus Homo; species Homo sapiens. Next base: position 125,247,080 of record NC_000003.12, read on the forward strand.
AAAGTGGCAAAAAACTCACAGGCATTATGGTAACTAATGAAATAATTAATTTTTCTGGGTATCAAACTTTTTAAATAACACCTTTCTAGTATAGAATGGTTTTCTTTCCCTAGAACGCAGGGCAGTGAGAAACTTCAAATTCTGCATTTCAAACTTCAGAAAGATTGGCAATGTTTGCCCATTTTGTAAAATAACAGATTGGGGTCACTAACTCCTCCCTCCCCAAAAAGAAAGTTTAAAAAATTATTTTTTCTGGGTTTTCTTTTGCAGAGTTATGAAATTACACATTTATATACACTGTAATATTTAAAGTAGTCTATTTCTCAAGTTTCTTAGGATGAAACAGCAAATGAGAGCAGGAAAACTTTTTTTTTTGAGACAGAGTCTCACTCTGTCAACCAGGCTAGAGTGCAGTGGCGCAACCTCAGCTCACCACAACCTCTGCCTCCTGAGGTTCAAGCGATTCTCATGCCTCAGCCTCCTGAGTAGCTGGGATTACAGGGACGTACCACCAGGCCAGGCTAATTTTTTTGTATTTTTAGTAGAGACAGGGTTTCACCATGTTGCCCAGCTGGTCTCAAACTCCTGACCTCAGGTGATCTGCCTGTCTCGCCCTCCCAAAGTGCTGGGATTACATGTGTGAGCCACCATGACTGGCTGAGGGAAACTGTTTCGTGGCTTCCACAGATTAGGTTTTAAACTTCCACTTTATGAGGGAGCCATCAATGAAAACTGATCAATTACCTCTAGTAAGAGCAACATCCTCAGGAAGCCCTATGCACAAATTAAAGATCTGAGAGTTGATCTAGGAAGTATACATGAAAAATACAAAACAAAACAAAAAAACCATTGTCCTAATTCCAAAATAAGCTGAACACCATATATTTATGACACTTCCACATCTCACTTTTCTATCAGCCAGTTATACACTCGGTACACAACTGGTACTAGCATCTAAGCATATTAACACTAAATAATTGATGTTCCAATGATGGCACCTATGCAGTACAAGACCTAAATTAAAGCAACAGCAGTTACTGTAAACACCATCTAAATATGACGTATGTAAAATTAGTAAAATGGCTGGATATGTAGGCACCAGTGAATTCTTACCAAACACAAATGAGTTAGAATCCCAAAACGTACAACAGATTTTTAAAAACAATGTTTACTAAAAAGTATCCTGACTTCTAACATTTTAAATTAGTCATGTCTATTTCTGAACTTGATATAAGCCCCCCAATTTCCAGCTACCTCCTGAAAACAAGTGCCCTATAATAAGAGCTCAGCAGTGAAGGCTACATTAAGCCCATAATGGACTTACCAAATCTGATAACTCTATGTTGAGTCCCCTTAAAAGAAACCCATCATCAGCTTACTCTTCATATAGAACTGTAAAAATGCACATCGGCTTTCTTCCCTTTAAAAAAATTAACTAGGGTATAAAAGATGAAGGACCATTCTCTCAGAAAGCATACTTTTTTCATGACTAAAATCATTTTCCTAATCAGGGTCCTGTGGCTTTTTGCCCACCCATACGATGTCACTATTATTCTGCCACAATAAAATGATTTGCTTTTTTTATACTAGCTGCAACTTACACTTTAATTTCATATACACTGTATTTCAGAAACATGGTTTAGGTGCTCTAATTTGAGCACAGAGCATTAACACTACTTTTATGCAAAGAAACGAGAGAATCAGACTCAGAATTAGTGACAAATTCAGCAGCTATCTCTTCTGGATTTGGCTGTCAATTAAATATCTAAAAAGAATAAACAAGCACTACAGGTTCCAGGAACACGAAGTGTTCTGCTGCAAGAGGTCTATTTCTTAAAGTGTCATCTTAAAAATGCAGGTGTAATTTGCATTTCAATCTAGAATACCTGTCTTATTTCTCTCTTTAAAGCTTAAATCTCTATTCTTGTACACCATACACGAAAAAACAACTCAAAAAGGATTAAAGACTTAAACATAAGACCTGAAACCATAAAAATCCTTGAAGAAAGCATGGGAGAAAGCTCCTTGACATGGGTCTTGGTAATGATTTTGTAGATATGACAACAAAACCATAAGCAAATAAAGCAAAAATAAATGAGTAGGACGTCAAACTGAAAAGTTTCAACATGCTCAACAAAATGAAAAGATAACCTATGGAATGGGAAAAAACATTTGCAAGCCATATATTCATCAAGAAAAGCTAATATCCAAAATGCAAAAGGAACTCATACAACTCAATAGCAAAAACCTACAAATAGCCTACTTTTAAAATGGGCAAAGGACCTGAATATACATTTTTCCAAAGAAGACCACACATTTTTCCAACAGGCATATAAAAATGTACTCAACATCACAAATCATCAGGGAAATGCAAGTCAAAAGCATGAGATGTCATCTCAAACCTGTTAGGATGGCTATTATCAAAAAGTCAAATGATAACAAGTGTTGGTGAAGCTGTGAAGAAAAGAAACCACTGCACACTGCTGCCGAGATTGTAAACTGACAGAGCCATTATGGAAAACAGTATGGAGGTTCCTAAAAAAACAAAAAAAAACTAAAAATAGAACTACCATATGATCCAGTAATTTCATTTCTGGCTATATATCCAAAGGAACTGAAATCATTATCTTAAAGAGATATCTGAACATTCACTGTAGCATTATTCACAATAGCCAAGATATAGAAACAACCCAAGCGTCTGTCAATGGATGAATGGATAAAGAAAATGTGGGGGGTGTGTGTGTACATAATGAAATATTATTCAGCTTAAAAAAGGAAAGCCTGTCATTTGTGACAATGTGGATGAATCTGGAGGACATTATATTAGTTGAAATAAGCCAGACACAGAGAGACAAACATGCATGATCTCATTTATAGGTGGAATCTAAAGAGGCAGAATTAAAAAAACAGAGTAGAATAATAGTCACCAGGAGCTATGGTAAGGGGGAATGGGAGGATTTTGGTCAAAGGTTACAAACTTTCAGTTGTAAGATGAGTTAGTTCTGGAGATATATAGCATGGGACCTATAGTTAATAATTTGTAAACATGGAATTGTTGAGAGTAAATCTTAAGCGTTCTCACCACACACACAAAAGATAGTTATGTGAAGTGATGGTTATGTTCATTAGTTTGACTGTGGCAATCACTTCACAATGTATACATATATCATGTTGTATACCTTAAATATATACAATTTCCATTTGTCAATTATACCTTGATGAGGCTAGGGAGAGGAATAAATTATCCTCACCAGGTGATGAAAGTTTTGCCCAGGTCATGATGCTAATAAACCAAGCCTGGGAATCAACGCTGGCTGGCTGCCTTTCATCTCCAGAAAAGCTGCTTCAGTGCCTTATTCATCTGACATAGCTTATCTCAGAGCATCCCTGAGTGTGGACCTCTGATTACATGTACATACTTCTTTCAAATAATCTGTAACTTACCTGTAAGAAACTCATGATCAATATTTTCTATAGTTAAAAAAAATGTAGACCAATAATATGCCAAATGGCACCCCAGTCATTAATTTATTTAGCAAGTATTAAGTTGTTACTAGTGTCTGGTCTTCTTCCAGGTAGATGACAGCAGTTGGAATAAGTTGAACCTAAGTTTTCTGGGGTTTTTTGTTTGTTTTTGTTTTTTGCATTATTTGACTATTTGGTTAGTTCTGAAAGCATCATCACAATCAAGACAATATATTTATCTTAAACCACAAAATTTCCTTTTATTCTCTATATTTCCTTTCTCCTGCTCCTCTCTGTCATCCCCATCCAGGAACAAATTGTCTGCGTCTGCTTTCTATTCCTATAGTTTATCTTAATTATCATTATGGATCTTTTCAAACATACACAAAAGTAGAGAACACATAAAGATCCCTCGCTTATCACCCAGCTTCAATAATTACCAATAATCAGCAAATTTTATTTCGTCTAACCCTTCTCATTATTTCTTTCTTTGCTACTTTCTTATTTTAGGCAAACTTTTTACTAGAGTGTAACAGTCATAGAGAAAAGTAAATAAATCATAATCATAGCTCATTAAATTTCCACAAAGTCCATCAACTCACGTAACCAGCACTCATAATCAAGAAATAGAACATTATGAGCACTTCCTAAGTGCCTCTTGAAGCCTCACCTGATCAGCATGTCTAACTTCTCAAAAATAACCACTATCCAGGCTTCTAATACCACAAATTAGTTTTCTCTTTTAACTACCTTTTTATCAAGGAAAATTTAAAGCATATAGAAAGTACACAGAAGGTACCCTCACTATATTTTAGAAGTAAACATACTGAACTGTAATAGATGTACAGAAAAGTATACAAACCGTCTAAGTGCCGTTTGAGGAATTTTCTCAAAGTGAACACACCTGTGTAATTAGTAGCTCAATAAAGAAAGGGAACATTAGACACTGCAGAAGCACCTCCACCCCTTTTCTCCATCAGTGATCACTATCCTAATTTCTAACACAATTAATTTTGCCTTATGAACTTCACATGAATGGAATTATATAGTATATATTCTTTTGTGTCTTTTAGTCAATGTTATGCTTGTAAGATTAACCCACAATGATGGGTCCAATATTCATTCCATTCATATACCACAATTGATTCATTGTGGTAGATTCTTGATGGAAATCTGGGTTGTTTCCTCAGTTTTTGGTGACTACTAACAAGGCTGCTTAAATGTTCTTATCCTTTGGTGAAAATATGTATGCAATTATATAGGGTATATAGCTAGGAGTGGAAATGGCAGATCATAGGGTTTGTGTATGTTCAGTCTCCACAGATTACCGAAGTGGATGCACCAATTTACAGACTTGCCAGCAGTATGAGAGTTCCAACTGTTCCACATCCTTGTGAGTACTTTGTACCACCTGTATTTTTCATTTTGGCCATTCCAGGGTATATGCAAGTGGCCTCAGAGTACAGTTTTATGTAATTTTCCTGATGGTTAATGAAGCTGAATACCTTTTCATACATCTAACCATTTAGATATCCTTTTTGTGTTTCTGTGAAGTGTCTATTCAAGCACTCTGCCCACTTTTCTACTAGCTTGTCCTTTAACAGATTTGTAGAAATTCTGTACATATTCATCAGGCTTGGTTTTTCACCTTCTTGATGGTGTCTTTAATGAACAAAAGGTCTTAACAATAATGTGACCCAAAATACCAATTTTTCCATTAAGATTAGTACTTTCTATATCCTGTTTAGGATTTTCCCCCCATTCCAAGTTGTGACATTATTCTCTGAAGTTTTCTAATAGAAGTTTCATTATTAAAAAAAAAGAAGTTTCATTATTTTACCCTCGTATTTAGATCTACAATTCATCCAGAAATGATTTTTGTATATGGTGTAAGATAGAAAGTCAAGATTAATTTTTCCCCCTAGACCTAGCAACATTCATTAAAACATCATCCTGCCAGGCCTGGTAGCTCACGCCTGTAATCCCTGCATGAGGCGGGTGGATCACGAGGTCAGGAGATCGAGACCCTCTTGGCCAGCATGATGAAACCCCATCTCTACTAAAAATACAAAAATTAGCTGGGGGTGGTGGCGCATGCCTGTAATCCCAGCTAATCAGGAGGCTGAGGCAGGAGAATCACTTGAACCAGGGAGTCGGAGGTTGCAGTGAGCCGAGATTGTGCCCCTGCACTCCAGCCTGGCGACAGAGCAAGACTCTGTCTCAAAAAAAAAAAAAAAAAAACCCACAAAAAAACACATCACCCTTTCTCAGCCACACTCCAGTGTCATCTTTACTGTACATCAAGTGAATGTAATATATGTAGGTCTGTTTCTGGAGCAACTGATCTCTGTTTCTCCCTGTGCCAATTATACAATGTTTCAAATGATTATAGCTTTATAATATATCTTGATATCCAGCTTAGCTCCATGCTTTTCCATATATGTTTTAAAATCAGTTTGAAAGCTCTCCCCTCCCGTTCTCTCCCCTCTCTCTCTGACACATACGCATCTGCTGGTATTTGATATTTTAACTGAAATTGCATTTAATTCATAGATCAGTTAGTAGGATAGACTAACATTAGTCTCATAATCAATGAATACATTATATCATTCCATTAAGTTTTTTCATATCTCTTTATAATGTTAATTTAGAAGTCTTGCACATCAGGTCAGATTTATTCCTGGCTATCTGATCCTTTTAAGTTATTTTAAGTGGTATCATCATAACATGTTCATGTTCTATTCATTGGTATACATAAAAACACAATTTTTGAATACTGACCTTGTATACAGTGATAACTGATGAATTTACTATAAATTATCTGCAAGTTATTTTGAATTTTCTATGTATTTAAAATAATTTGTGAGTGATAGTTTCCTTCTTTCTTTACTTTTTTTTTGTTCTGGCCTTACTGCACTGACTAGGACCTCCAATACCATGTTGAACAGAAGTGGTGATACCAGGCATCAATCTCAGGGGGAAAAATTTTAGTATTTCACCATTAAATAATTCAATAGTTGTTATAGATGTTTGCTACATAGTCAGATAAAATAAGTCCCCTATTATTCTAGTTAAGATGTTACTAATAGGAAGATGTTAAATTTCACCAAATGTTTTCTACCTACCTACTGAGATAAAATTTCCCTCCTTAATTTGTTAATTAAGGGTGAATTTGATTTGCTGATATGTGAATATTAAGCCAGTTTTGATACTTGAAAAGTTGATGTTGTCATGATAAATTATATTTAAATACTGCTGGATCTGACAGTTAATACTCTACATAGAACTCTTAAACCCATGTTGATAAGACAGAAATAGGTCTGCAATTTTCTTTTCCTGTCATTTCTTTCTTGGGGTTTGGGTCAAGTTATGATGGTTTCATAAAACAAACTGAAAAGTGCTTCCTCTCTTTCTGTTTTCTGGGAGAGTAAGACTAGCATTATTTTTTCCTTAAACATCTAGAAGAATTCCAGGGAAGCCACCTGAGCCTGGAGATATGTGAAAAAAATTTAAATTTAGATTCAATGCATTTAGTATATACAGAATTAGTCACAGAATTATTTCACTTTTGGTAAACTGTATTATTTTAGGAACATCCATTTATCTTATTTTTCAATTTTTGAAACAAAGTTTTAATCTCTCTCCCCTTTCTTATGACTATGTAGATCTAAGTGATGTACACATTTATGTTCCTAATAATTACCATTTATATTTGATAGTGGGCTGAGGTTTGCTTTATGGCCAAATGCATGATCTCTTTTGACAAATGTACCTACCATGTACACTTGAAAATAATGTGTACTTGGTTACTGTTGGGTACATGGGCTATATATGTCACTCAGGTCATGGTTGTGTTATTCAGATCTCACAGATTATTCTATCTCACAGATACTTTGGTCTCTTGTACTACTGATTATTGATAAACACATTATCATAGGTAACCACTATGTGAATCTGTCTACTTCATTTTGTTCTGTCCATTTCTGCTTAACAGACACACGTTTAAAATTTTTTGAAAAATCTTCTAATGAAGACAACCCTTTATCATTATTAAATGTTTCCTTCATTTCTAATAATGCTTCTTGCCTTATTCTCTTCTGTCTGACATTAGCTTAGCAACACTTGCTTTTTGTGGTTGTTTCATACACTGCATTTTTTTTTCATTATTTTATGTTCTGCCTTACTAATCCTTACATATAAAGTGTGTCTCTTGTAAGAAGCATGCCATACGGTTCTGTTTTGATATGAATCTAACTCTTTACATGAAAGTATTTAGATTATTTGCATTTAATGTACTTTCTGATCTGTTTTGGATTAAATCTTTATTTGTTTTCTGTTTGTCCCATCTGTTCTTTGTTCTTTTTATTTTTCTTTACTGCTTTAAGACTCAATCAAGTATTTATTTTTCCATTTTTCTGCCATTTGATCTTGTTAGATTTTATAATCCTTTTAGTGATTATACAGAAATGAATTATTACTCTCTAATTTCAATGATTACTATTACCACTTCCACGACAATACTAGGATCTTGGAGCATTAATTCCATTTACCCGCCTCACTATTTTTGCTATTGGTGTTACACATTTTCAGACTACAAATATTTTAAGCCCCACAATAACATTATCAATGTCTGGTCTGTAAATATTCATTTACGTTTAGCCACATATTTAGTGATTTAATGTCTCCACCTGCTTTTTTTTTTTTTTTTTTTTTTTTTTTTGAGACGGTGTCTGGCTCTGTTGCCCAGGCTGGAGTGCAGTGGCACAATCTTGGCTCACTGCAACCTCTGCCTCCCAGGTTCAAGCGATTCTCCTGCCTCAGCCTCCCAAGTAGCTAGGATTATAGGCATGCACCACCATGCCTAGCTAATTTTTGTATTTTTAGTAGAGACGGGGTTTCCCCATGTTGGCCAGGCTGGTCTCGAACTCCTGACCTCAAGTGATCCACCTGCCTCCACCTCACAAAGTGCTGGGATTACAGGCATAAGCCACCATGCCTGGCCCACTCTTGACTACATTTCCATGTTTTCATATGGGATCTTTTTTTTTCAACCTAAGGAACTATGGTTTCTTTTAGTGTGAGACTGCTGGGAACAAATTTACTCAGTTTTTCTTCACCTGAAAACATTTTAATTTTACCTTCGTTTTTTATGACTAGTTAGGGAACTAGTCATAAAGGGACAGAATTCTAGGTTAGCTTTCAGCATTTTAAAGATGTCATTCCATTTTTCTCTGACATTCCATTTTTTTCATTTCTAATGAAAAAGCAGCCACTCTTCTTACTGGTTCTTTGAGGATAATTTGTCTTTTTTTTCCCTGCCTGTCTTTAAAATCTTCTTGGTCTTTAGTTTTCAGCTGTTTCAAATGATGTGCCTCCTTGGTTCGTTTTTTAAAAAAAATTTAACCTGCTTGGGATTAATAGACATGGCTTGATATTCTTCATCAATTTTGTAAAGTTCAGCCACTGTTCTTTCTCGTATTTATCTGGGATTCCAATTATAAATATGCCCAGCTTTCCTCAATTAGAATTCCATTTAAAAAAAAAAATCGGCGGGGCGCAGTGTAATTCCAGCACTTTGGGAGGCCGAGGCGGGTGGATCACGAGGTCAGGAGATCGAGCCCATCCTGGCTAACACAGCAAAACCCTGTCTCTACTGAAAATACAGAAAAAAAAATTAGCCGGGCACGGTGGCAGGTGCCTGTAGTCCCAGCTACTCGGGAGGCTGAGGCAGGAGAATGGCGTGAACCCAGGAGGTGGAGCTTGCAGTGAGCCGAGACAGCACCACTGCAGTCTGGCCTGGGTCAAAGAGCGAGACTCCATTTCCCAAAAAAAAAAAAAAAATTAAGCCCTGGCTAGGTGTGGTGGCTCATGCCCGTAATCCCAGCACTTTGGGAGGTCAAGGCGGGCGGATCACCTGAGCTCAGGAGCTCAAGACCAACCTGGCCAATATGGTGAAACCCCATCTCTATAAAAATACAAAAATTAGCCAGCCATGATGGCAGATGCCTGTAATCCCAGCTACTCGGGAGGCTCAGGCAGAAGAATCGCTTGAACCCAGGAGGCAGTGGCTGCAGTGAGCCGAGATCGTGCCACTACACTCCAGCCTGGGCAACAGAGTGAGACTCCATCTCAAAAAAACAAAACAAAACAAAACAAAAAATTAAGCCCTAATGCTCTAAGACATCCATTCTATGCAGTAAATTATCCTTTCCTACTAGTCATGTACTACCCTTGAGAGAAGTGAGGAATCCCAGTAAAGATTGTGTCCCATGTCTCTTTCTCTGTTTTCATTTTCTCTGTGATATTTCCTACTGATGTCTTTCAATTCATTAATCTTCTCTTTTGTTGTCTCTAATCTTCCATTAAACTTATGTGCAATGTTTTTTATATCAGTTATTATGTTTTCAGTTCCAGAACTTCCAGTTTTTTTTTTTTTTTTTTTTTTTTACAAACTGCAATTCTCTGGTAAAATTATTTCTCTTTTCATCTATTTTCCATACCTTTTCCACTATTTTCTTAAATGTCAGTAACAGTTTAAAAACTCTACTCTGATAACTCTAATCTCTGAATCACCCATGAGTTTGTTTTTATTATCTATTTTTCTCTTGGCTTTCTGTCATTCTGTTCTGTCACTTAGCATGGACTGTAACTTTTATTGGATGAGAAACACTGTATATGAAAAATTACAGGGACTGGATTATAATTTCTTCTTTTAAAATAGGTTTGGCCGGGCACGGTGGCTCACGCCTGTAATCCCAGCACTTTGGGAGGCCAAGGTGGGCAGATCACCTGAGGTCAGGAGTTTGAGAACAGCCTGGCCTGAACATGGCGAAACCCCGTCTCTACTAAAAATACAAAAAAATTAGCTGGACGTGGTGGCGTGCACCTGTAGTCCCAGCTACGTGGGAGGCTGAGACGAGAATCGCTTGAACTCGGGCTGCGGAGGTTGGTGGTGAGCTGAGATCACGCCACTGCACTCCAGCCTGGGCGACAGAGCGAGACTCCGTCTCTATTAAAAAAAAAAAAAAAAAAAAAAAGTTCACCCTTTCTTCTCCAGAGCACATACAGGGGATTACGCCATTTTCAGACTAGGTTATTTGTGGCAAATCCACAACTCTGTGGTTTTTCAAAATAAGGAAATGCTTCTTTTCCTTCCCATTTCTCTCTACCCTCAAAAATTTTTATTTTTAATAAAAACTGCTTCCGGATGTCTAATGTTCACCATGACTTCATAAATCCCTGAAATATTTGCAGAAGTATTATACTCATTGTTTTTTCATCTCAACTGTTTCCTCCTCTTCTGAAAACTGCTCTTGTCTTGTTACTCATTTCCTATTCTGCCTCCTTCACCTTCCCTACCTTTATAGTGTTCCTTCTAGTCAGTGACAAGCAAAGTACCAAAAACTGTAATACAATTACAATAGTAGTTCTAAGACTTTATATAACCTATTCTCTCTAATAGCATCAGGTCCCTTAATTTTACTATGGACTTTTAGATTATTTAATGTGAATGAGGGTCTTCACTTACTGAGATCATACTGTTAATTTCATATATACTGTGGTAACTGCATTTTTTTTAAAGAGATAGCATCTTCCAGCTGGGTGCGGTGGCTCACGCCTGTAATCCCAGAACTTTGGGAGGCCAAGGTGGGCGGATCATGAGGTCAGGAGATCGAAACCATCCTGGCTAACACGGTGAAACCCCATCTCTACTAAAAAATACAAAAAAAATTAGCCGGGCATGGTGGCAGGTGCCTGTATTCCCAGCTACTCGGGAGGCTGAGGCAGGAGAATGGCGTGAACCCGGGAGGCAGAGCTTGCAGTGAGCCGAGATTGCGCCACTGCACTCCAGCCTGGGAGACAGTGAGACTCCATCTCAAAAAAAAAAAAAAAAAAAAAAAGGGGGATAGCATCTTCCTATGTTACCCAGGCTGGGCTCAAACTCCTGGGCTCATGATATGATTCTCCCACCTTATCCTCCCAAGTAGCTGGGTCTACAGGTGTGCACCACTGCACCTGGCTGTAACTACATTTTAATTGCTACAAGCAAAGCATGAATCTGAAAATTAGTAAGAATAAATACAAATTAATCATATGTTAAAATATTTTCCAAATGTAATTTATTACCCATATGATATAAGTTAAATCTTTTAGTGCTTCAGTTTGGTAGTAAACTTTTATTTTAAGTAACTTATTTTACTTAAAACAGTCTAACCCATTTTTTAAGAAATAGATGTTATGTAAGAATACTTACATTACCCATTGAATATTTAAAAATTCATAATGTTCTTTAAAATATATAATAAAACTTAGGCTCCAAACTCAACAAAGAAAAATCAAATCTAACTGATATGCCAAATTTTTGGTTTTGGATTTCTGCCTATTTCAAAAAAATATGTTAATGTAAACTCATTACCCTTTTACTTTTTATTTTATATTACAGTTAGAAATACGAAGTTAATTGTATATTGCACAGAAAAATAAAATTAAACATGATGTTATATCTTGGAAAGTACTAAGAGGCCTTTTGAGAAAAAAATACTTCATCAATTTGAAAAACAATCTATGGGAAAAAAATTGCAAATCACATATCCAATAAATGAAAAACTCTCAAAAATCAACAATAAGGAAAGAAAGAATCCAATTTTTTAAATGCGTAAAATAGCTGAACAGACACATTATTCCTCTACCCAATATACAAATAAACACATGAAAAAATGCTCAACATGTTAGGTCCTTATAGTAAAACCACAGTGAGATACTAGTACACACTTATTAGAATGACTAAAATGAAATATAGCAGTGCCAAGTGCTGTCAAGGACACAGATCAACCAGAAATCTCATAAGATACTGTGGAGATGTAAAATGGTATAGTTGCTTTGGAAAATGCTATGGTGATTTTTCATAACATTAAACATACAGGCATACCTTGGAGATATTGCAGGTTCAGTTCCAGACAACCACAATAAAGCTAACATCACAATAAAGCAAGTCACACAAATTTTTTTGTTTCTCAGTGCATGTAAAACATGTAAAAGTTATGTTTACATTATACTATAGCCTATTAAGTGTAAAATAGCATTACGTCTAAAAAAAACCAATGTACATTATCACAATTTAAAAATACTTCATTGCACTGGGTGCGGTGGCTCATACCTGCAATCTCAGCACTTTGGGAGGCTGAGGAAGGCAGACCACTTGAGGTCAGGGGGCTACAGTAGTACTTTTAATTTCCTTTAAGAACTTTTTCCTTTGCATTCACAACTTGGCTTACTGGCACAAGAGACCTAGCTTTTCAGCCTCTCTTGGCTTTCAACGTATCTTCCTCACTAAGCTTAATCATTTCTAGCTTTTGACTTAAAGTGAGAGGTGTGCAAATTTTCCTTTCACTTGCACACTTAGAGGCCACTGCAGGGTTAACTGGCTTAATTTCAATATTGTAGTGTCTCAGGAAATGGGGTCACAGTAGAGGCAGAGAAATGAGGGAACAGCCAGTTGGTGGAGCAGTTGGAACACACACAACACTTATCGATTAAGTTCACTCTCTTATGTGGGTGCAGTTTGTGGTGCCCCAAAACAATTACAATAGTAACATCAAAGATCACCGATCACAAATCACCACAACAGGTAATACTGAAAAGGTCTGAAATATTGAAAGAATTATCAAAATATGACACAGAGATAGAAAGTGAGTGCACGCTGCTGGAAACATGATGCTGACAGACGCTCAACACAGGGTTGCCATAAACCTTCAATTAAAAAAAAAACACTGTAATTTGCAAAGTGTAGTAAAGTGAAGTGCAATAAAATGAGGTATGCCTGTCCATCTATCATATGACCCAGCAATATCACTCCAAGGTATTTTCCCAATGGAATACTACTCAGCAATAAAAAGCAATGAATTATTGGTGCATCAACACAGATGACTTTCAAATGCACTATACTAAGTGAAGTAAGTCAGATTCAAAAAGCTACATACCATATAATTCAATTTATATGATGTTCTGGAAGAGGCAAAACTACAGAGACAAAAATCTTATCAGTGTTTGTCATGGGGTGTTGGTAGGAGAGGGGCTCACTTCAAAAAGTGCAAGGGACCCTTGGGGAGTGACAGAACTAGTCTGTATCTTGACTGTGGTAGTAGTTACAAAACTGTCAACACGCACAGAACTATACACTAAAAATGGTAAAGCTTATTGTATGTAAATTGTACATTAAAAGAAGTCTGAGGTCAACAACACATATTTCCCTTCATGGAAAACGAAGATTTAAACTACCTATACATACCTAAACATACTTAAACAAAACATTGGAAAAAATCCTGAGCTTTTTTGCAAAATAAAATAAATCACTATTTGCCCATGTTTCTCCAAAAGATCAAAACTTCCTGATTTATTGATAAGCAGAAGTACTACAAACTTACTGAATTTCTCGTCTGATTACTTCAATTTGCTCAGTGATTGATACAGGGTGGGGGAAGTGTTGGAGGTTTATGGAAAGGAGAATGTATGAAACACCTGTTTAGGAGAAAGACTGACAAGCTTTTAAAAGGGCCACAAAGTAAATATTTTAGGCTTTCAGGGGCCATATGATCTCTGTCACAGCTACTCAGCTTTGCTGTGTAGCCATAGATAATACATTAAGGAACTGGTAAGGCTCTGTTCCAATAAAATTTTAATTACGACAATAGACAGGTGGAGCTGGCCCATTGTTTGAACTAAAGACCCAATCTGGATGAGCAGGAGAATGAAAGGACTAAGGAAATCATTTCCAGAAGTCATTATGGGCCCTCTTAAAATCTAAAGTGACCCTAATTCACTGTGGCTTTCTGTTGGAGTAACACAGTCAGGTGAATAAAAAGATCATTAAATTTACTTATGGCTGTAATTTAGCCAACGTAAGTACTATGTATGAGAGGGCAAGGGTATGAATGTAAGCAAGGTAGTGAATATGATAAATGTTGACAATTTAAATTAAATAAGGAAAATGAAGATATGAGGAAAATGAGGGATAGTGAAAAGGAGGTAGAATCACTGGATTGTGGGTCCTTGTGAAGACAAAGGACTGTTGAAACCTAAGTACTAAACGACATGAGGAGGACTGATAGGAGAGAGTGCCTGGGAAATAAGAAACTACAGTCACAGGAAGACTAAAGCTTGGTGAGCACTAGTCTAACATGACCATGACAGAGGAAGAATAAATGACAGTGTCACCAAGAAAACAGAGGTCTAAGAACTGAGAGGGTGGGGCATTCAAAATAACCTGACAGGGGTTGACAAGTTTTTTTTTTTTTTTTTTTAACACAAAGGGCCACAGAGTAAATAATATTAAGCTTTGTAGACCAAAAGGTAAAATCAAGGATACTGTATACAAACTCATATAAGAGAGAAAACAATTTCCACAAAAATTTTATTAATGAAATTCAAACTATGATAATAATAATGCATAACTTTTCACCATACAGTTCTACTAATGAAAACGCTGGAATTCTCTTTTATAGGGCTTCAAAATTAGCATTCCCTATCATTAAAATCAATTGTAAATGTATGTTAATGCTGATCTGCAATGAGATTTTATGCATTTCATCTTTGAAACCGTCTTGTCACAAAGACAGATACTGATATCAATCCATGAAAATGTGATTTTATCAAGCATTATTCACCACTTGGAAGGCATTTACAGAAAATTTTATTAGATCCCTGATATTTGCCTTTTATCATGTATTACACTGGACATTAACTACTTCCAATTAAAGAGTAGGCAGAGTTGCACAATTAAGTGGATTCTGAAATATGAAAACTTTCTTTGCACTTGCATCAAGGTCCAAAATCTGACGAAATTGTAGTTTGAGCTTGGAAAATACATCCACTGCCTATTTGTGTGAGAGTGGAGATTTTGCTTCTTGTTCTAACTGATAGCATAGGAAGTACATAAAACAGCATTTTGTGATTCAATATTAGGTGCTGTCAAGATAACTTTATCATGGGAGAAATTTCACATATAAACACTGGTTTCCCTTGTAATAACAGGCTGAATTTATTAAGAAACATTTTCAAGTCTTCAGCAGAAGCTAATTTCTAAAGCTATTCTTCAGTGATTGAGATTGGTGATATTAATTCAGAAAAAGTTTAATTTTGGCTTTACATTCAAAAGCTCCCAATAAGACTTTACCACTTCTAAGATATTAAACTGCTATATAATAGAGTAAATCAGAACATTCAGCTTCCATAGCTGACAGAAATTCATGGAACACTGATAATGGTTAAGCCCACCAGAGCAAATGAAGTTCACTATTGACACTATTGGTTCAATGACACATAATGTATTCAAATGTTTCTCACAAAGTACTGGTCACAAATACTAACATGAAAGGCCATAAACTTTAAATGCTTTGTATTTCTCAAGCTTTGTAAATTAGTTCAACTAAACTATTCTGTTCCACATGTATTTTTTTTCCCACCATTCGCTGTAACACAACTTAGCAGATCCACTTCAGTTTATATTAAAATGTTTTGTCAAGTTCTTTACTCATTTTTTTGAAAACATCTTGACATTTAAGTTGCATACCATTCCATTCATCCATTTAAAGTGTATAATTCCATTTTGAAACTATTCTTGCCTATAGTTGTTGCACAGAGATGAATTCTTTAGTCACTTCAAACCTAGTATTGACTTCTTGAGTAAATAACAGGGTAATATTGTAGTATAAGAAATATATATTTAGGCTGGGCACGGTGGCCCACGCCTGTAATCCCAGGACTTTGGGAAGCCAAGACGGGTGGGTCATCTGAGGTGAGGAGTTCGAGACCAGCCTGGCCAACATGGTGGAACCCTGTCTCTACTACAAATACAAAAATTAGCCGGGTGTGGTGGCATGCACCTGTAATCCCAGGTACTCAGGAGGCTGGGGCAGGAGAATCACTTGAACCCGGGAGACTGAGGTTGCAGTGAGCCAAGATTGTGCCACTGCACTCCAGCCTAGGAAATAGAGTAAGACTCTGTCTCAAAAAAAAAAAAGAAATATACATTCAATTTTTGTCCCCAGGTCCAGACAAAGAGCTCCTAAAACTCTAGTAATTTCCTGAGTGATCGGGGTGATAAAAGCATCTTTTGTTCTAATATTTGGTCTTTGTCCCTGATTCCTGACAGAGCTCCTAAAATCCTTTCAATTTCCTGAGTGATAGCAGTGTCTTTTATTCCTGACACAGAACTCCTGAAACCCTAGGGATTTCCTGGGTGATAGAAGCCTCTTTCGTTCTAATGAGGCGATCTTTCTGGGACCCTAGATAGCTTCAGGATAGGGGCTGGTCACCAGAAAGACAAGGCCTTGAGTAGAAGCCTAGAAATTTCAGCCCCATTCTCCTCAACCTCCAGGAAGGGAAGAAGGGCTAGAAACTGAGTTAATAATCAATCCATCATGCCTACATTACTAACCTCCATAAAAGCCCCTAAGTAATGAGGTTCTGAGAGCTTCTGGGTTGGTGAACACATCCAAGTGCCAGGATGGTGGCACACCCTAAATCCACAAGACAGAAGCTCCGGTACTTGGGACCCTTCCAGACCTTGTCCTGTGGACCCTCTTCATCTGGCTGTACAACTGAATCCTTTGTAATAAAATGGTAAATGTAAGTAAAGCACTTTCCTGGGTTCTGTAAACTGTTATAGCAAATTATCCAAACTCCCTCCCCCCATGATTTATAGCCAGTTGGTCAGAAGTACAAGAGGCCTAAACTTGTGATTGGCATCCGAAGAGGGGGCAGCCTTGTGGGACTGAGCCCTTAACTTGCAGGATCTGATGCTAACTCCAAGTAGTTAGTGTCAGCATTTAATTAAACTGTATAATAGGACAGCCGGCTGGTGTCCAAAGAGTTGGAGAAGTGTTTGTTGGTATGAGGAAAAACCCACACACTTGGTGTCAGAAGTGGGTAGAAACAGATCATAGTAATTGGTACCATCTGTCAACTCATCAATAGCCAAGGAAAACCACTTGAAATCATCTGCCTTGTTTTTTAATTGACTATTGATGTTGATACCATGTAGGATTTCATTTGAGAATCAGAGTTCCATCAAAAAAAGTTTAAAAGCCATTCTCCTATATTAGTTTCACTCCAATTTCTTCTGTTTAAACAACTATTAAATTTCATCTGTAATTATTTTTCCTCTGAAATGCCTTTCATGTCCATTTCATTCAATTTTCAGTCTTCAGGTCTTTTTCAGAACCTCATCACTTAATAAAATATACTTTGCTAGAGTATGATAGTAGTATTCCTGAGAAATCTCATCATTAAACAATCATTTCAATGAGGCAGGGGAAAGAGAGACTGAGATTAGTTTCAGAAGTTAGTTTCCTTCAGGGGAAAAAAATTTAATGGCTAATTAATTAGATCTACAACCCAAACGCTGCTGAGTGAATATATCCAGGCTGTTATAGAGTAAGTAGCTTTAACTCTCAGTTCAAAAGAGTAATGATTTCATGTAAACTTCAAGTTTATACACAATATTCCAAGAACAGCTTTCGAATACAAAATACCACATAAAATACAAGGTGGAAAATGAACAAAAATACTTTTATTCTGCTAAGATAGTCTGTTACTACTGCTTATTTTTTCACTGCAATCTTTTACTTTTTAATATCAGAAAAGGCCTAGATAATGTTAGACACTGAGCAAATTCTCCTACTAAATAATCTAGCTGAAGTCTGGATGATTAAAGCATAGCATCAAGTATTGCTTTTAGTAGCTAGCCTCCACTCACCCTGTAACAATCAAGAGCTTCTTCAGCCTTGCCTGGCATCGCATCTCCTTAATAACAGCACCTCAAAAGTTTCCCAGCCAGTCTCTAGCATTTTTGTCAAAGGCTTCTGCATAAGCCAAACTCCCTTGGATTTGTCACGGAATCCTAACATTTTAAAATAATACCTTTCAGGTTCCTATAAGTCCATTGTCTATTTCTCCTAAATATCATTTAAGAAAACAAAATGTCTGCAGAACAGGTAGAGCACAACAAGATTTTTCTATTGGGATAAAGTTAGACTTTCTCAGGACTCTAGAGTTAGAGTGGATCAAACTCCACGTCCTCCCCCTCTATCCATTGATAAAGAACTAAAAGTTAGATGAAGTGGGCAAGACCATATATGATTGATTTTTAAGGTGAAGAGAGATGAAGTGGGAAAGAATATATATGATTGATTTTTAAGGTAGAGTTCCTCCATTATGTAAGTACAATAGGCCCATATAGAATACTGTGTGTCTTCAAACAGCAACAAATAGGTTGTTCTTTTTGTGTTTGCAGTCATTTTGTTTTTTTAATTAATGCACTTGTCTCTTTAATTTTAACTAATCACACAAATGTAAAACAAGAAAGAGTAGGGGTCATTATTCTTGTATCAGATAAAACAGACTTTAAACCAACAGTAAAAAAAGACAAAGAAGGTCATTTTATAATGATAAAGGGTTCAATTCAACAAGAAGACTTAACTATCCTAAATATATATGCACCCAAAATTGGAGCACCTAGATTCATAAAGCAAATACGTCTAAACCTAGGAAAAGATGTATACAGCCATACAATAACGGGAGACTTCAACATCCCACTGACAGCCTTAAATAGATTATTGAGGCAGAAAACTAACACAGAAATTCTGGACAAGTGTCTAATTTCTCACTCGACCAACTGGACCTAATAGAGCTCTACAGTATACTCTACCCAACAACCATAGAAAATACATTTTTCTCATTTGCACACAGAACATATTCTAAGATCAACCTCTTGTTGGGCCATAAATCAAGTCTCAATAAATTCAAAAAAATGGAAGTCATACCAAGCACATTCTCAGACCACATTGGAATAAAAATAGGTATCAATACCAAGAAGAACCCTCAAAACCACACAATTACTAGAAACTAAACAACTTGCTCCTGAATGACTTTTGGATAAACAATGAAATCAAGGCAGAAATCAAAATATTCTTTGAAACAAACGAAAACAGAGACACAACCTACCAAAATCTATAGAATGCAGCAAAAGCAGTGTTAAGAGGAAAGTTTATAGCACTAAACTCCCACATCAAGAGGACAGAAAGATTTCAAATTAATCATGTAACATCACACCTAAAGGAACTAGAAAAACAAGAACAAACTAATCCCAAGGCTAACGGAATAAAAGAAAACAGAGTAGAAATGAAACTGAGACCCAAAAACCATACAAAGAATCAAAACAAAAAGTTGGTTCTTTGAAAGGATAAACAAGATTGACAGACCACTAGCTAGATTAACAAAGAAAAAGATTCAAATAAGCACAATCAGAAACAACAAAAGTGACATTATAACTAATCCCACAGAAATACAAAAGCTCCAATGAGATTATTATGAACACCCCTATACACACAAACTAGAAAATCTAGAGAATATAGTTAAATTCTTATAAACACACACCTCCCAAGATTGAATCAGGAAAAAATTCAAACCTTGAACAGATCAATAACGAGTTCCAAAATTAAATCACTAATAAAAAACACACCAACCAGGAAAGAAAAAAAAAAAAAAAGCCCTGGACCAGATGGATTCACAGCTGAATTCTACCAAATGTACAAAAGACAGCTGGTACCAATCCTACTGAAACCATTCCAAAAAATCAAGGAGAAGGGATTCCTCCCTAACTCATTCTACGAAACCAGTATCATCCTGATACCAAAATCTGGCAAAGACACAACGGGGAAAAAAAAAAACAAAACTAAAGGCCAACATCCCTGATGGAAATAGATGCAAAAATCCTGAACAAAATACTAGCAAACTGAATCTAGGAGCACACCAAAAAGTTAATTCAGTTTGATCAAGTATGCTTTATTCCCGGGATGCAATGCTGGTTCCCCATATGCAAATCAATGAATGTGATTCACCAAATAAACAGAATTAAAAACAAAAATCACATAATCATATGATCATCTCAATAGACACAGAAACAGCTTTTGATAAAATCCAGCATCCCTTCATTATAAAAACCCTCAAAAAACTAGGCATCAAAGGAACATACCTCACAATAATAAGAGCCATCTATGACAAACCACAATCAACACTATGCTGAACAGGCAAAAGCTGGACACATTCCCCCTAAGAACTGGAACAAGACAAGGACGCCTATTCTCATCACTCCTCTTCAACATAGTACTGGAAGTCCTAGCCAGAGTAATCAGGCAAGGGAAAGAAATAAAAGACATCCAAATAGGAAAAGAGACACTCAAATTATCTCTCTTTGCTGACCATATGATTCAGTATCTAGAAAGCCCTAAAGACTCTGCCAAAAGGCTCCTAGACATGATAAACAATTTCAGTAAAGTTTCAGGATACAAAATCAACAGCATTTCTATACACCAATAACATTCAACTGAGAGGCAAATCAAGAACATAATCCCATTTACACTAGATGCACACACACATACCCATACCCTAGGAATACATCTAACCAAGAAGGTGAAAGATCTCTATAAGAAGAACTAAAAAACACTGCTGAAGGAAATCACAGATGACATAAACAAACGAAAAAAAGTTCCATGTTAATGAACTAGAAGAATCAATAACATTAAAATTGTCCATACTTCCCAAAGCAATCTACAGATTCACCACCATTCCTATCGAACTACTAATATCATTTTTCACAGACATAGAAAAAACTATTCTAAAATTTATATAGAACCAAAAAAAAAAAAAACAGCCCCAAAAGCCAAAGCAATCCTAGCCAAAAAAGAACAAAACCAGGACTTCAAACTATACTACAGGCTACAGTAACCAAAACAGCATGGTACTGGTACAAAAATAGATACACAAACCAATGGAACAGAATAGAGAACCCAGAAAAAAAAGCTGCACACCTACAACCAATTGATATTCAAGAAAGTTGGCAAAAAATAATCAATGGGGAAAAGACCCCTAATAAATGGTGCAGTGGAAACTAGCTAACCATATCCAAAAGAATGAAAGTGGACTTCTACCTATCACCATATGCAAAAATTAATGCAAGACAAATTAAAGACTTAAATGTAAAACAAAAACTATAAAAATCCTGGAAGAAAACCTAGGAAATACCCTTCCAGACATAAGCCTTGGCAAAGAATTTATGACTAAGTCCCGCAATTGCAACAACAATGAAAACTGACAGGCAGGACATAGTGGTTCATACCTGCAATCCTAGCACTTTGGGAGGCCAAAGTAAGAGGACTGCTTGAGGCCAGGAGTTCAAGACCAGCCTAGGCAACATGGCAAGACCTGATCTCTACAAAAAAAACTGCAACAAAAACAAAAATTGACAAGTGGGACTTAAAGAAACTAGAGTTTCTGCATAGCAAAAGAATCAGCAGAGTAAACAGACAACCTACAGAATGGGAGAAAATATTCACAAACTATGAATTCAACAAGAAACTAATATCCAGAACCTGTAAGGCAGTTAAATCAACAAGCAAAAAACAACCCCATTAAAAACTGGTCAAAGGACATGAGAACAGACACTTCTCAAAATAAGACATACAAGCAATCAACGTATGAAAAAGGTCAGGCACAGTGGCTTATTCCTGTAATCCCAGTACTTTAGGAGACTAAGGCAGGTGGATCGCTTGAGCCCAGCAATTTGAGACCAGCCTGGGCAACATGGTGAAGCCCGGTCTCTACCAAAAAAAAAAAAAAAAAAAGCAAAAATTAGCTGCAAGTGGTGGCGTGCACCTGCAGTCCCAGCTACTCAGAAGCCTGAGGTGGGAGGATCGCTTGAGCCCGGGAGGTTGAGGCCACAGTGAGCCCAGATCATGCCATCGCACACCAGCCTAAGTGACATAGCAACATCATCTTTAAAAAAAAAAATGAACACCACAATGAGATACTATCTCACATCCCTAAGAAGGGCTATTATTAAAATGTCAAAAAAAAAAAAACATGTTGGCGAAGCTACAGAGAAAAGGGAACACTTATACATTATTGGTAGACGTGAATTATTTCAGCGACTGTGAAAAACAGTCTGGAGATTTCTCAAGGAAGTAAAAACAAAACTACCATTTGACCCAGCAATCCCATTACTGGGTACATACCCAAAGGAAAAAAAAATTCTACCGAATGACACATGCACTCATACGTTTATGGCAGCACTATTCACAAAAGCAAAGACACAAAATCAACACAGGTAACCATCAGCAGTGGACTAGATAAAGAAAATGTGGTACATATACACCATGGAATACTACACAGCCACAAAAAGAGCAAAATCATGTCTTTTGCAGAAACATGGATGCAGCTGGAGTCAATCACCCTAAGTGAATTAACATAAAAAACAGAAAACCAAATAACACATGTTCCCACTTATAAGTGGGCGTTAAATCTTGGGTACACACAGACGTAAAAAATGGGAACAATAGACACTAGGGACTCCAAAAGGAAGAAGAGAAGGAATGGGGGAAAGGCCTGAAAAACTTCCTATTGGGTACTATGTTCACTGTCTGGGTGACAGGATTAATAGAAGCCCAAATCTCAGAATCATGCAATATCCCCTTGTAAGAAACTTGCATATGTACCCCCTGAATCTAAAGTAAAAATTTTAATTAAAAAAAGTTTAATAATTAACCTATGACCTCGTCAATTCACTCCTAGGTAATTAAGAGTAAACTGAGTATATTTTCTGGAATAATTAAAAATGCACACTGAAGCTAGGCACAGTGGCTCAGGCCTATAATCCCAGCACTCTGGGAGGCCAAAATCGGAGGATCACTTGAGCCCAGGAGTTCCAGACCAGCCTGGGATACATAGGGAGACTCCATCTCTAAAAAAAAAAAAATACAAAAAATTAAAAAAGATTACCCAGGCATGGTGGTGTGCTTCCAATATTCAAAAATCCTGAGGTCTTCAGGAGTTTGAGTTTAAAGAAGTAATTGAGTATTTTTCCAAAAGAATATGGTGTGAAATAATTTGTAAAACAAAGCATTATATCTAGACCCAACTGAATGAATGTTTCATCTTCTGTAGAATGTAAAATAATTTTTCAGGGGGCCCTACATTAAAGGAAGGCAGGTTAACAAGTCAAAGAGTAGAGAAACTTATCTTGTTTCAGAGTACATTTTCTACAGTTTTTGAAAATATTTTAAAAAGGCAAACCAAACCATACTATGGACAAATAAGAAAAATAAGAAACTACTGTGAAAAATAACTTTAGCCAGGCATGCTGGTGCACACCTGTAGTCCCAGAAACTCAAGGAAGCTAAGGCAGGAGGATTGCTTGAGCCCAGGAGGTGGAGGCTGCAGTGAGCTATGATCATGCCACTGCACTCCAGCCTAGGCAACAGAGGGAGACTTCATCTCTGAAAACAAAAAAAGTATTTAAGTTTTGCCTACTTCTCAAACTGACCAAAGCTAAAGTAATATTACATTCCTTAAAGCTTAACTATGTTGTTCCATTTGTTTTAAAAAAATTTAAATACCTAAATTTGATTAATACATTTGTAATTATGAGTAAATATTTTAGCATAAAAATATTAAATATTATACAATTTTCTTCATATTAGTTATAATTAACAGTAACTTATTTTCCAAATTTCCAACTTTCCTCACAAAACAGTATTTTTTTAACATGGCAGTTAAATGCCTTGGTATCTTATAATGCTTTACACGATAAATCTGACATTCCTTAGCTTAGCATCAAGGCTAGACAATGCAATTCCAAAATCAAGCTTTCTAGACTTATCTCCTCACCCCCACTCTCCCCGTCCTTCCTGCTTTCCTCAGAATGGCCATTTACATGCACATCTTGCCTCTGCCCACTCCATTGTGAAATCCGGTCTTACCCCTACACCCACAGACTTCGTTTCAGCGAAGCGTAGAAGGCTACATACATACAGGCTACAGGCCAGGTTCAGTACTGGCTTTGCCCTTACCTGAACAAAATAAAAATCTCCCTGGTTAAAACCAAAAGTTGATGTCACTTCGAAATTTCCTTGGTGCTTGATCTACCCTTTCAACAGCATATTGGTTAAGGGCACAAACTTCGAAGAGCTAGATTGTTATTTACCAGTTATACGCACTGAGGGAGGTGACTTAATCATTTTGAACCTTATCTGTAAAACAGGAATACCAGTACCCTCCTCACAGGACTGCTGTGTGGATAAAGTGAGATAATTTATGTATTGGGTTACAGTGCTTGGTGGAGAACAGGTACTCAATAAATTTACTTAAGTATCACTAGGTCTATGATAATCATGAATTCTTAGGAATTGCTAGGTTTTTTTAAACTGCAATGAAGTACCTGCCTCCTTCTGGTTCTTTTAAGCCAGGATATATGACACACTGCTTGGCCTCCTGTCCAGCATCTGCAACTGTCTGGGTGTTTGCCGGTCTGCCTCAGTTTTAACTTGCTACCCTGTGTGTGTTTCTGAATCGATTATCTGAGTATCTGTTTACCTCTTCTTGCCCAACGATTCCCAGCTTCCTTCAGTACACTGTAGATTTTCTTTCTGGTCCTGGCTTCCATCATACCTTTGCTTTACTACCTATGGTTCCTGTGATGACACTTGACTCCCATGCAACACATGGATTACAAAGCCTAAATCAAATTCACTCTTGAGATCACTTAAGTTCTATCTCTTCCATGAAGACACCAATCTGAATTGTCTGGTCTATTTCAATGAAATTCTAAAGCACAGGTTGTCTGCACCATTGTGTTGGAAATCTGACATATGCTTCATCAAATTGTGAGTCACATGATTCACATGTTCATTCATTCAATGACTATATGTAAGAATGAGACCACTTCAACCAAGTCTCAATTTGTTAAAGACTTGTTAAAACAAATGCTACACATCTTTTTTAAATATAGCTGCTATGAACTAACAAAAACATTCTATATAGATTTGAGGGGTAGGGATACTCATACATAAAATACATACACTTAATTGAAAACTGGGCAACTTTCATTATAAAGCCTCTGATTTGCCATATTTCTGTTGTAAGACATAATAATAAAATGGAATCAATCTTCTGGATGACTTCCCCTATCCTCCTAAACAAAAAAAATTTAAGTATGGTTTAATATTTTTATATATATCAGGTTTTTATCAATTTATATATTTAATTACACCATACTTTAATTATATACATATATACACACATATAAATGATCTCTTTTATGTCTTTATTGGGATATTTTGATATATAGTGTTAAGCTTTTATATGTTTTATGTATAACCAATCTTTTAGTATGAATTATTAACAGCTTTGCAGATAAAAAAAAATTGGTTTCTAAAAGCTTTGTTAAAGCAGAAAATGTCAGTCCCAGCAATCCATACTTCTCTGCTTAATACTTCCTTGGCAAGCTCTGTCCATGCCAGTGCAGTCTGGGCTTCAGCAATCACAATGCCAGGAGCTTGTAGTGCACACAACATTCTCAGTTACACAAACAGTATTCATTTCCTTCATCCTCACAAATTAAGAGTTAAACTCTAAGTAGGTCTTTAACATTTTCTTTCATAAGACTTCTCTATTAGAGCTAATTAACTATAAATTAGGGCTTGAAAAATGTGAGCAGAAAACTAATTTTTATCGATAACTGAACCATACTAAGGGAAATATAAAGGGTTAAGCTAAGTTAGTCAAGAGTAAATCAACATTCTCTCTAACCCCACCCCATTAGCCCAACTGGTTTACAAAAATAAGATGCTGTTATTATTCAGCTATTTAATACAGCTATTTAATACAGTTGTGAATAAAAGTCATAGTAAAGAGAAAAAGAGGACTGCTGTGTTTTCAGGCATGAAGAACACTAACTTAGATGACAGGTTTTCCAGTGTTTTTATATTTTTACAGAGAGAACTGTATACATCTAAGAACTAAAGGCTTAAAAAAGAACCTTATGGAAAAAGAAACCTAGTGAACATATATAATTCTGAGTGATTTAGTTTTTTCAAAAATCTCTTTTTTTTGGGAAGAGAATCTTTTTTTTTTTTTTGAGACGGAGTCTTGCTCTGCTGCCCAGGCTGGAGTGCAATGGCATGCTCTGCTCACCACAACCTCCGCCTCCCAGGTTCAGGCGATTCTCCTGCCTCAGCCTCCCGAGTAGCTAGGACTAAAGGCATGTGCCACCACGCCTGGCTAATTTTTGTATTTTTAGTAGAGATTGGGTTTCACTATGTTCTCAAACTCCTGACCTCGTGATCCGCCTGCCGTGGCCTCCCAAAGTGCTGGGATTACAGCGTGAGCCACCGCACCCGGCCGGGAGGAGAATCATTTATAAAAACTTCCCTATAGAAATAGCTTCGTAACATTTTTACTAATTGAAATAAAAAATAAATTATGAAAACTGGCATAACTAAAAAGCTACCATAATTTGTATAACAGAACATCAGGATAGGTATTCTGTGGCTTACTATTTAGAGGAATTTACAAAAATAAAATTAAAAATTGTACTTAAGTTTTTTACTCCTCAATCCCTCTTGGTGATAAGACTGGCAGTTTCTTAGAGTAAAATGCTCACGGGGTGAGAAGAAAATAACACAACTATGGATATATGCCATTCTAACATTTATTCTATATATGCATTTTTAAAATAGGCACCTTAGACAAGGAAAGGGCACGTCAGACAAAAGTACTTGATCCACAAGGAAATCTGCCAATGATGATAAATGTTTAACCTTGATATGCGCTTGATCAGTAATCCTGGCCCTAAACAAAATGATCAATTATAATTATCTTCGACCTTAGCCTCAAATCCTCATCTTCTCTCTCACATCCAAAACATCACCTAAATAAAGGATCTGTAATATTCACAAAAAATATAATATTCACAAAAAAGGTAAATCTCCCATAACTGCCAAAAATAGCAGTCCTGAGGATATTTACAATGTGGCAGTTTTCAGTGCCATAGTCTAAAGGAATAAAGCTTAAACCAGAATTTCAGGGACCAGCCTCTGGATGAAAAAGTACTCTCCCCTAAAATGGTGTTTCATAGACAAGCCCAAATGTAGGAAATGGAATTAAATAATAGCCTGTCTAGAGCACATTAAAAATTTTTCCTTTTGAACCCAAATCAACTATGTTCTTGGTTTTAATAAGACACAGGTTTCTTTATTGTTGGCCACAGCTACCAAGCAAGTAATGATTTTTAACTATGTTGCAAAGGGGCAGAGAATGGGCTTGGAGGCCTGAGGGACCAGGAGAAGACAGTATAATGAGACCTAAAGGGAGAAGGAAGGATGTATGGAAAATGGAGCCTTTAAGGGCAGATGGTTTTCACCAACCTTTGAGGGTCGGTTAGGTGACTCATTACTCATTTGACAATTTAAAAATGGATAAAAATATGGAAAATCTTTTTTAATGCCGTAACTATTTAAATGCATTCTTCTAAACTAAGGGCCTACAAATAAAGAAAGCCTTCACATGGGCAAACTTCAGGGCACTACCCTCCTCCAAAAATAAAAGTCACTTAGAAAATGAAAGGAAGAACAGTAAGAACAGAATAATAAATGATGGAGACCTATTTGTGGTTCTAGATATATATTCCCAAATAGGTTTAACAAAAAACATTTTACTGTCTTTAAAAAGAATCTATAAAAAGAATCAAGAATACGAAGTAAAGAAGGGAAAACTATCCCCTTATATCAGTTCCACCTAGTAGGGAGGGAACAATAGGGCAGAATTGATTCTCTCTTCAAAAGAACTTTTCTTTGTTAAGGAACCCTAGTGATTGCTTTGCCCTGGTTCCTCTCAACTCCTTATCTTCTTCTACACTGTTCTCTCTAACATGAGAACTCCAGCCTTTGCTTCTACCACTTTTAGATGCTACTATACCTATAGGAAGGCTAAGCCATAATTGGCTTAGTGACAGAGCAAGAAAAACTCAAAAAGGCCCAAATATAACTTTCTGCTTCTAGTCCCATTCTGCATAGCCAGTGATTTCACATGTGTACTCTGGACTCACAGAGGCTTGAGCTGAAATCTTGGTTCCATCATTTACTAGATATATACATTTGGGAAAGTTCCTTAACTTATGTGCACTTCTTACTACCTCCTCATCTATAAAATGGGGACAGTAATAACTCCTGCCTTTCAAGATTAATGTGAGGACTAAATGAGATATTTAACACAGTTTTCTGGTACTTAGTAAATTCTAAACAAACATTAACAACCCATTATACTCTGCTTAAATCCAAGATTCCCCATGGTCTAGTGCAGTTGATTACAGGATTGTGACCAGCACTTTTTTAAAAAAAGAATTCATACTCACACACAAAATATCACAGTGCAATGAAGGTGAGTATTGTTTCAAAAATATTTTTTTCAGATACACACCCACCCACACACATATATTCTTAACTTAGCCTCATGTGGCTTTTCTGTGACACCTGCCCTAAGAACGGACAGCACATGTGTCTCTTCCTCAGGGCACAATAGTATCTTGAGAATTTTGTATAAAATTCTACAACACTTAACTGCACTGTGCTTGCTTATATGTGTGTTTTTCCACGTCTGTTTTTCCACAAGAACGTAAACTCCAAAGAAAGAAACTGCCTTCTGTTATCTATTTCTGGTGCTTGAAAAACACTGGATGCTCAATAAATTTTTGTTGAATGAATGAGTAAAATATCAAAACCTATTAGGTATTAAGAACACACAAAAATAATCACTTTCATTTGTATCTGATCAGGTTTTATTGTTATATAGGAATTTAAATTTAGCTATAAGTCACACAAAATCTATAAATTTTTTTCTCCCACAGTGCCTAGTATAGCCCCTTCTAATAAAAAGAGATGAATACGTTTACTTAAAAAACTGAAACTAGTAATGTGCAAAATGATTGTTAAAAAGTAGAACATCCAAGCATACAGACATGTTGCACAGTTAAAGTTTTATTTATTTATTTATTTATTTATTTTATTTATTTATTTTTGAGACGGAGTTTCACTCTTATTGCCCAGGCTGGAGTGCAATGGCGCGATCTCGACTCACCGCAACCTCCGCCTCCCGGGTTCAAGCAATTCTCCTGCCTCAGCCTCCCGAGTAGCTGGGATTACAGGCATGTGCTACCATGCCCGGCTAATTTTGTATTTTTAGTAGAGACGGGGTTTCTTCCATGTTGGTCAGGCTGGTATCGAACTCCCGACCTCAAGTGATCCGCCCACCTCAGCCTCCCAAAGTGCTGAGATTACAGGCATGAGCCACTGAGCCCAGCCCAGTTAAAGTTTTATTTAAGCAGACCAGACACATTCAGGCTTCTTTTTGGGGGCAAAGAAAATTGAAAAAAAAGTTATCAGACAGAAAAGGTTGTTTCTATATGACAAACTGTCCTTTCACAAATACTGCAGGTCCCATGAGAACACATCAAAATAACAACACTGGGCAGGTACTTGCTTGAGTACTTAAAACAGAAAAATATGAAGAACTTAAATATTTTCAATATTCTCATATTATCACAATTCTCAATTCTATTCAAATGTAAAATTCAAAGTTATACAAATTTACCAACTCTGCTTTTATTCCATCACAAAAAGCAAAACACTGGAAATCAATTCTAAAGAAACACTTTTCAACATGCTTAGAGGCAACAAAGGCAAAGTCAACAGACTACTAAATCAAAGTTACTTATAAAAGTTGGTTTTACCGTTGGCAAAAATAGATGCAAATAAATATTTGCTCTAAAATGAGACTTAGGTTTTTACGGTATGTGTTCCTTTATAGTAATCCTCTAGAATATTTAATTTCTAAATCATTAATAACTTGACTGAGAAATTGGCAGTTCTCAACTTTTTAAGATTACATGTCTAAGGGTAAGGTATATACATGAAAGGGAAAGAAAGAGAATGAATTGTACTGCTGCTTTAGGAGTCAGGAATTTGCTTCCTACCCCAGACTAATTAACGATAATTTTGAGTTCAGTAAACACCTAAGGAAATAGCAATTTCAGAAAATCTTCCTTCCTTTTGTGACTTTAAACATATATTTTAGGTTATTATGCAACTCTATTTCAAAGTAATTTCTTGGGCTTGGACATTAAAGTTAAGTCTTAACAGTTAACATTGATTTATTGAAGGGAGAAAAAAGATAACCTGTGATTTATAGTCTAAACCAATGGAAATGGCAGCAAGTCACTGCCACTTATTAAAAATTCTTCCCTCCATTTGAAATAATCATTTTAATGAACCTAGTAAGGGTGGTTAACACTCACCAGTATGAATCTTCTCATGTCTCTGAAGCAGGTACTTCTGTATGAAACGCATGTCACATTGACTACATTGAAATGGTTTTTCACCTTAAAATAATTTCACATCCACAAATTAGTTACTGAATAAAACAACGGTTTTTAGTTACTGTTTCTGAGGAAAGAAAAATCTTAGATGCCCAAATTTTGGAAAATTACAAAATAGCCATACAAATTTTTAATGTTATTAACAGAATTTTATGTCCTCTCAATTTTTTTCCCAGGATTTAAAAATTCATATTCTCACAATCACAGAAAAATAAGATTAAATTTGATCTATATATTCAAGGGGGGGAAGGAAATAAATAAAACAATTTAAAATTGAATTTTAACATCATGGGGTGAGAAAGAAATACAGGTTCTCACGTGTCCTAAACATCTTTTCTTCCTTTTTATCTGGAAGAAGGTGCGCCCATCCTGTTTTCTCCCTAGTTAACCATCCATTTATGCCCTTTTACATATTTTCTTCAGAACCTTCAGAACTTTCTAAACATCCCTTTTTTAAAAGATCCTGTCTCTTCAAACTTTCTCTCTCTGCTGGGGCTTTTCCTTTTAAGGAAAGTATTCTCTGGCCTGCTCTATGCTGAGAAACCTTGTTTCAGTCCTGAAACACTTCTACCTTAGTACTTTCTCTCCTTCTCTTTCACTACACCTCCTTAAAAGAGTAGTCTACTCTAAGTCAAATTCTTCACTGCCCACTTGCGGTTTAACCCTTATACTCTGCTTTCTGAAAAGCTACTTGTGATCTCCTTGCTATTTATTCCAAAGATTTTTTCTTGGTTCTCTAACCTCTATCCTCCTAGGGCACTGGCACTGTTGGTCACATCCTGCTTGGAATTCTATCTTCTACTAGCTTCTGGGACACTATTTTCCTAGTTCAATGAATCTCCCTTATAACTGTTTTTCTTCCTCATTTCATCTTACATGTCTAGTTTGTTTACCCAAAGGTCTGTCATCTTTAATACTGTTCTCTACAATTTCATTATCTTAGCTATCATTTATTTATATTTGATTTCCAAATCCATGTTTTAAACTCTGCCTGGACATTTTGCACACACAAAAAATGAACACTGATAAACAGGCTTTTAATAATACATTCTTTAATCATTTCTCTAGCTAAATGGAGCACATTAAGCCAAACAGGTGTCCAATTAAGACTATTTAATTAATTTTACACATCCATGCTAATTGTTTTCTCACTTAAGAGTTTTTCCTGGTTTCCTTCTGACATTCTGGCCTACAAAATCTCTGATTTGGAATGCCAGATTAGCTATGGTCTTAGGAATGAATGACAGTTACACGAAGATGAAAATAACAAAGATAATAACTTTAATGGCCACAAGCCCATTTTAATTCAAGAAATACCTGTATGAATGAAGACATGTCTCTGTAAGTGATAGTTCGTTCTAAAGGCAGCATTGCAGTGCTCACAAACGTGAGATTTAGGGGTTTTCAAACCAAGTGATCCATCCTCATTTATTGTAAGGATCTAGTTCAAAAAAAAAAAGGCAAAAACAAAAGAAATAAGTTTTTAAAATGTAATTAAATAGTAATTTTAAAAAAAAGATAATGCAAACAACGGTCACCACAGATTATGAAATATTTTGTTCTTAAATGATCTTGAAAAGACTATTAGAATAATGTTATCATTAACTGTAGGAAAGTACAATGTGACTCAGAATGAGCAAAAATCACTAATAAAACCTTGGAAGCTGGTTAAGTAAGATCTCATCACGGCCTTCTCCTCTGTAATGCTTATGCGTGATGGAGTTCCTAAGTCTTCAGTTAGGGTGAACACAGGTATATTTTCAATTTCAAATTCTCATATATGCAGGAAAAAAGCCTTTAGACATGATCTAATATCAATCAGTATGGGGCTAATTAAATAAATCATGGAAAATGAATACAATTTAATATTATGTGGTTGTGAAATAAAATGACAAAGCTCTCTATATACTTATATGAAAAGCGTGTCAGGATTTGTTAAGTTAAAAAAAAAAAAGGCAAAGTTTAGAACCCAGTGTATAGTTTTGCTAACTTTTGTATATAAAAGGTACATATAGGAATATATATTTGCATAGGCATAAAAACTACTTGAGAAGGATATATATACAGAAGTATATAACCTTGATTGTGATGGCTGGGGAACTGGGCAGACAAGAGATAAAATGGGAGGGAGGTTTTACACTGTCCACTTAACACATTTTTTTGAACCATGTAAGTGGTTACCTATTACTAAAAA
Source organism: Homo sapiens (assembly GCF_000001405.40). Classification (NCBI taxonomy): domain Eukaryota; kingdom Metazoa; phylum Chordata; class Mammalia; order Primates; family Hominidae; genus Homo; species Homo sapiens. Next base: position 125,280,001 of record NC_000003.12, read on the forward strand.
AAAAAGAGAACACTAACTTTTCAAGTTACAATATGGTAGAATTTATGGTCTGTTTCAGTCTAGGATCACTAAGGTTATTCTAGAACTACTAAATTATTATTAAACATATTCCTAAGAATATTTGTCAAATAAATAAATTAGAAGTGGGTATGGGGTCCATCTGGGGCATAAGTACTGAATAAGAAAATTATTCAGCACTTATAAATTCAGTTTTTTAAAAAATAGAAGTGGGTAAAAAGAAGGAAGACAAGAGACAAAGCAACCTTGTCTTTCTGGGCTTATTGAGATTAAGAGTATTGCAAGCCTGGTTTGGATGGTACCACAGAGAAACTCACCTTAGGCTGCATGTATTCCAATTTATCAACAACTTGTTCAATGTGCAACATTAAGCTGCCTTTTGGCCAGGCATGGTGGCTCAAGCCTGTAATCCCAGCACTTTGGGTGGCTGAGGTGGGTGGCTCACTTCAGTTCAGGAGTTCGAGACCAGCCTGGGCAAAATGAGGAAACCCCGTCTCCACTAAAATACAAAAATTAGCCAGGTGTGGTGGCACACACCTGTACTCTCAGCTACTTGGGAGGCTGAGGATGGGAGGATCACTTGGGCCAGGAGGTCAAGGCTGCAATGAGCCATCATCATGCCACTGCACTCCAGCCTGGGCAATACAGTAAAACCCATCTCAAAAAAAAAAAAAAATTGCCTTTCATCAGACATGTGGAAGAGTGAAAATAATGATTCCTTTTTCATTATTGACGAAAGCAAAAAAAAAAAAAAAAAGGCACAACATTATGCTGAAACAGCAAAGAAAACTAGAAGATCTGATCAGGAGGGGTATGGCCAGTGAGAGGGAAACAATGCTGTAGGTGTGGGCATACAGAATGGGAGCTAAGAAACTGTCCAACAAAGGTAGAGAAATCTGGGAAATAAATATAAAGAACTGTGGAAACTGATTAGGGCCTGCAAACACACAGCTATGACCCCTTCTCAAACCTAGAAAAGGGCAGTACGTAAGGGAAAAAAGCTTTAATCCTTAAAACATTTTTACTTTAAATTCAAGAAGACAGTTCAGCCTATACTATATGCAGATCAGTGGTAATTATTATGCAAATTATACAGGGCATTTGGATTCTGGGCAAACAGCCAATGTGGTCAACAATGCTTCAAAGTCTATGCACCAAAGTCATGGAAGGGAAACATTTGGCAGGAGAATGGAAGTGGGTGTCACAGCTTCCTGAGGAGAGTCAAAGAAAGTGGAAAGCTTCATCTCTGGGCCAGTCAGTTTTGAATTTTTTCAACCCCTCCAAGTCACATAATAATAAGCAAGTTAACACTGTGCAAAAGGAAAACACACAAAATCTTTTAAAATATGACTCAAAATATTTTATACATAAAACAAACAAAAAGATGTTAAATACTTATATAAAATGGAACTAAAAACAAGACAGCACCAGGTATTTTTTTTCATGTATGTTGATAACAAATAAGAAAATCCAACTGCCAAAAAACATGGCACTTCAATAGCTTTCTGTGGCATAGCAACTGCAAGGAAAGGCTTTGTAAAGAACAAATCTGGCCCAAGTTGCTTAATGTGAAACGGATGTAATCCTTGACTGTACAAAGCCCTTTTATGAAGAGTTAAGGAGTTCTAGGTCATTGTTTTCTGGCACTGGAGGTACTGCTGCCTTTCATTGTAGATTCAAGCCTTAATTCAAGGTGAATTTTATGGATGAAACAGCTACCACTGCCTTGTGGATAAACACACAGGAAAATCTAGCTTTTTTTAAGTTCAAAGACAGAAACACCAAATTCTTGGACATTTTATATTTTCCTTACTTTCTTTTTAGGCCAGAGTAATAAAGGACATAGAGTAAACTCATCTTGACTCAGATGAGCATCAATGGCCCTTCCAATTTGTAACCTGTTTTAAATATATCCAACTGATTTTTATTCACCCTTATAATCTCAGTGTTCAAAATGGTATCTGGAGCATAGTGGAGACTCTATACCTGTCAAAGGACCTGGCTGCCTGCTGTCCATAACAATTACTCCTCCTAGCTTACCACTTTCTTGTTTTTTAAATTTGTTGCTAAAAGCAATACTTTACTTTTCAATTTTTTAGTCTTCAGATAACTGAGTAGTGAGAGAAGCGGGTAGGCAAAGAATAAAATCCCTTAGCAGAACACAAATAGCACACTAACGCAGGCAAAATTTTCTTCCCCGGTATAGACTTGCCTTCTTTTCTTGCTCACACCTTTTCAAGATCTTTTAGTAGAATGTGATCTACCAGCTGAGTGTGTTTGCCTTAGAGATTAGCAGTCTTACCTGCAACTGGTTCCATAAAACATCTTTGCTTTTCTTTTTTCCCCAACATATGGACACCATTACAACTGAAGAATTTTATGTTTAAAATTTTGAATTCTAAGATGCCTGCTAGACATCTTCAGATGCTTTATCTTGCCCCTTGTCATTGCTACTTCAGGAGAAATATGGTATATTACATAGACCAAGCAATCAGGTTTTAGCAAGTGGAGAAATTAGTAATACTCTAATTCTCAACACACTACATTTTTTTTCTTATCTGTTTAGTAAATTTAAAACAAGACTTTATAGAAAAAAATTGAGTATCAAATGGAATTTCTCAGTTAATCTGCTTTCTTAATCTCATATCCATTATGACATATTTTCTGTTTTAAGACAAATCTATTACCAGCCAGCTACCTAAATATACACATATGGTAAAGGTTATCTTAAATAATATACCCATTTTCATCAGGCAAAGCCCTAAGGTCTGCCTATTCAAATTCAGAGATTTTTCACTCCATAAGGATCACTGCCACTGAATAAATGAAACCTGACACCCCTCACTGAGAAAAAGTTCTGTTTTCTTAAAAGGCAGACATGATTTTTCACATTCAAATGTGTACTACTAAAATTATTAAAGCATATTTTAAACTAAACACTATAGGTTTTTATCATATATTCCTGAATCAATCAAAATCAACTTTGAAGCCACCAAAACTCAAAAGACTAATTAGATAAGAGAGTTTACATTTCTCACCTATTATGAGACGTTCTACTGCAACTGGGGATGGAGAATGACAGCTGTGACAATTCTCTTTACTCTCCAAATCCAATGAGAAATGGAAAATAGTGCAAGTCCAAAGATATACAAATAACAAAGTCACCCTGAGTAATACCCATCACGGCAACTTGACTGTCCTGGTCATCGTTAATAACCTACTCTAACATTGTCACTTTCTTTCATTCATCAAGATTTTTTATTGTTTCTCAGTACTAGATTTTTCTCATCACCAAATTTCCTTTTTAAATGGTAAGCTTTTGACAGCACCAGAACAAGAAATTCACTGTATCATAAGCATGGCACAACAACTATGTTCAGCAAAATGACCCTGGGTTTTAGAAAAAGGCTGTTTCTTCCCTGTTTCCTGAATATTAGGCAAAGAAGTAGGTGATATTTTCTAAAGAAAGATTTACATCAGATTTTTTTTCAAAGTTAGGGTTCAGTTCTATGGAAAAACAATTTATACAAGACACACAATTTCCTGGGAAAATTAGATAAATAAAACTCTATTATTTTGCCAATCTTCTTCCTTCATTTTCTTACTATTCCATACTTCCTGTTTGCATCCTCCGTCTTATAATCAGTTCATCTTTAAAGCTACTTCTTCCTAAATCAAGGTAACATGTAGAAGAAAGCATGGCAAATGTCTGGTATATCTACTTCTCTGTTTCTTTTCATTAAATTTTCCTTATTTTACATAATTCAATCTTTCTGATACCAAAGTCTAAAATCTTTTCTGGGAACCAACAATATATAATAAATTGCTGGGAAAGGATTCTCTATTATATAATCTATCTGATGTGTGAAAAGTGCTCTTCCTCAGTTCAGCATAACTTTGAATAATGAATTTTTATTCAGATCACCTAAAGTGTTACAACAAACCCAGTTCCTTTTTTCAGTACCTGATGAGAGATCCTGGCACATAACAGGCACTCAAATTATTTGTTGAATAAATGAAAAGAGAGATACATTTCAGAATAAAGAGAAGGAATTAAAAATATCCTCTCTCTCATTCAGTTACTAAGGAGGTGGAAAAGACCTATATAATATATACAACATGGGATTTAGATAATATTGTTATATTTTACTGAAAAAAATTCTTAGATTTCATTAATGTTAACCCAACAATCCTCCTAAAACCCTTCTGAGATGGAAACTGTTACCTTCTAATTCATGTAACAAGTGAATACCAAAGTCCAGTAGTAATACCTCATTTATTCAGAAACTTCTAGTGTCAAGATTTGAAGTTTTCAAGCTTAAGAGTATAACAGTCACCAAAAACAGACTCAAAGGGGCAAAGGAAAGTGATGTTAAGTGGCCACCCAGATATACAGCAATGTAAAAATGAATAGCACGTCACCAAGGAATGAGAAGTGAAGTGATTATAAGCAGTATAACACTTAAAGTCTAGCAGTGTGGATTTGCAGGGTCAGGTGGATGGGGGAGAGCCCTAAAATCTCTGTTCTCCTAGAGGGCTTCAACTGCAATACGCAATTTTAAAAAATGTTTATGTCAGCTTCAAGACATTAAAAGCTGAATTATGTTCAAATACACTAGATTTAAAAGGAAAACAACACCTTAAAGATTTCCCCCAAAAAATGGTGAAAATAAAATGAAATTTGATATTTAAAAGGTGTAAGCTTCTATTATGTAGAAAACTTACTTTCTTAAAACAGCTAATTCCACAACAGATGCAAATAGCTTGACCTAGATGATGTTCCCTAGCTCAGTTACCCTCTTCATCAGGCATGCTGCCAAGTGTATTTAGGCAAATTTCAAGTGTCAAAACCTACCTTAAGATGATCAGGCTTTCCCATTGCATTTAAGTTTTCCAAAAAAAAAAAAAAAAGACTCAGCTTTGCCATATGAGAAAAGTTCAGAAGGCAATTATTGCTTAAAATCCATGGCAGCTAAAGATGGAATAACAACACAGTACTTTAAGGCAGCCATAGTTACATGGATGTTTATAAGCTCTGATGTTTTTACTAAAACTCTATCACATTAGTTATACTTCTTGTGCAGATCCCCAATCTAATACTACACAATGGTGACACAAACTCAAAATATTCACAATGGCAAGATTTTAAGATTTGGAAAAGGTGCTGGGGGAGAGTGGAGTCCTCTAGGCATAATAAATCATAATTCTTTGAGGAACTTAAAATTGTTTTTAAGGAATTTAAAACAAGTAACACTTACTGATTTACAAACATGGGTAAGTTTCTCTTTCTCTTCATACCAAAGAGCAGAATGAATTATTTTAACAGAAGTTCTGAAGCATAAATTTTTATATACACTCCTGAGAAAATGTAAAATTACTCACTGGTTATATCTTAAAGTTCTAAGACTCCAGACACAAAAAACCCATTCACCTGGAGATGGCAGACCAGTGGTTAAAAAACAGTCCAAAACCATTCCCTGTCCCATTACATGTAACATGCCAGGACAATTGAAAAATAATTGTTTGTTCTTTATTTAAAAAAAAAAAAAAACAAAACCAGAGACAGGGTTCCACAATGTTGCCCAGGATGGTCTTGAACTCCTGGGGTCAAGCAATTCTTCCGTCTCAGCCTCCCAAAGTGCTAGGATTACAAGTGTGAGCCACTGTACCTGGCCTGTTTGTTATTCTTACACCTCTGTCTGCTGTATATTGTTTCTAGTCACTTCATCTTCCTAAGAATTCTCTAAAGGGCTACCCTAAAACATTCTCTTATACGCACTATACTTAGAATAGGACAACTCCGTCATCTGGCAACTACAGAGGTATATAAATACTTAAATAATACCTTTAGAAATATTCTAAAATGATACATTATAAATGAGTTTATCGCAAATTAGACAAGCAAAATAGCTTAAAGCCTGTAAATACCTAATCTATATTTACAAATACCTAGAACATATCACCAAATACAGAGTCCAACACCCAATAAGAAGATAATCTGGGTTTTAGTCAGAATTTCAAGAAGAGAGTACACTTGAAATAGATACCCCATAGATCAGCAATGAATCCGAAGTAACAACCAATCACTATCACAAATGATTTTAGAAATAATTTTTTACATAAAACCTAGTATTATTCTATATCTGAAGAACTTGATTTGTTCATTAATGTAAAGAACCCCCAAAAATGATATAAATTACTGAGAAAAACATTAAAGCCCCAAAAAAAGAAGTGGAGGGAGAGGGAAGAAAAGAAGAAGGGAGAATTTCACAAAACATGAAATATAAAATGCCAACAAAAATTTTAGAAGTTTAGTGTGACCAGAAACTAAAGAAATTCAAATTTAAACTATAATGAGGCTCCCATCTTAAGCAAAGTCAGACACTCAAGACCAGTGAGAATGCAGACAGATACACCTCAGGTCCACTGCAGGTAGAAGTGTAACTGGTATAACATTTCTGAAAAGAGTAACATTATCAAGAAATCTTTCCAAAAGTTCACACCCTTTGATCAATAGTGCACAAAGATACATACTCAAACATTTTAAGTGCAGCATGATTTAAAACAGAAACAAAAGGACTACAACTTTCAAACAACATAATAATGTCCAATAAAACAACCATTAAATATAACATGATCTATTAAGAAATAGATTATGTAGCTAATAAATGATTACAAAAAACATTAAAAACTTTAAGCACAAAAGTTGCTTACATTTCAAGTGTTAAAAATCAGCTAATTTATTCTATATTATACCTCCATATCTATCTGCACAAATTTGAAAAAAGAAAGGGAATATGGCAGAAAATCCAAGTAGTTATCTCTAGGAAATGTAACTATGGGTTATTTTAGTCTCTATGTTTTTCAAAATTTGCTATTGTAGGCATATTTATATGTCCCCAAAATAGTGGTATGCTGGCAAATATTTAACCACCAACTAAGGAATCAGGAGGTATAGAAACATTTGCTGATTTCCAGGGTGTAAATATTCCCACCATAGCTAATTATAAGCTACCAATGGTTTTGGCAACTAATTTGCAAATGAAATCTTGCAAGCCAGCTCAAGCTGGCTCCAACACACTAATAAGTCCAAAAGTATACAAAAATATAAATAATAATGATGATTATGATTTCAAATCACAAATTTTTAAAAAGCCATCAAAAAAATCATATTACAGTATGATCTTTTTAAAAAGGACTTTCTCACCACATGAGGGAAGAAAAAAATAAGAGTTAACTATAAAAATGCAAATATGCTGCAGAGAGTTCAGAGAATTTCTAGGAATACCAAAAATGCTGTATACATTCAGCTATCACTATACTAAAGAGAAAAAAACAGGCCAGGAGTGGTGGCTCACGCCTGTAATCCTAATACTTTGGGAGGCTGAAGTGGGAGGACGGCTTGAGACCAGGAGTTTGAGACTAGCCTGGCCAACATAGCAAGACCCCATTTCTGTAAGAAATTCAAAAATTAGCCAGGCATGTTGGCACATGCCTGTGGTCCCAGCTACTCAGGAGGCTGAGGGAGGAGGATCCCTTGAGACTGGGAGACTGAGGCTGCAGTGAGCCATGATCATGCCACTGCACTCAGCCTGGGTTACTTGTTTATTTACTAACCCATTCATTAACCCATAAAATATTTACTGAGGATCTATTATGTCTCCTATTCCAGGCTCTTAGGATACAGCTGTGAACAAAATGAAGTCCCTGCCCTCATGAAGTTTACATCCTATTAACAGGGATCCTATATCTTTTCCTGATGAATAACTGGTATTACATTTTCCTGAAACCTTAATATAAAGATAAGGAAAACTAATACAAATGAGAAGAAAGGGCAATGCATGCCATCCGATAGAGATATGGAAAAAGAAAAGTTCACTTTTAGACAAGTCAGGAACATGGTGAAAGAGAAGCAGAAAAATTGAAAGCAAGGCCCACCACCTCCATGCAGGCACGCACCCCCTCCTACTAAACCACACAAGACTTCTACATCTGCCTTAGGGTCCAGCCAGGTTCTTGCCTATAGAATTAACCAACAGTTGGAATTAAGAGGTTGTGATTACCACCTTAATACATTGTCTTACTTTTGCGGGAGAACGTTGTTTCCGCTTCTTCTTTTTCTGTAAGTCTACTGGCTCTCTGATTTGTTTTTTGTCTCTCATCAGTTGCTCAGATACATCAGTAAAAGTAATTTCCTGCTTTACGCTTATCTGTTTAAAAAAAGAAAAGCCAATTTTAGACATAAATAAAAAGTTCATTGTGACAAAAGGCCATTTTATGTTTAATCCTTTGCTAAACCCACATACAGGTGCTTCCAGAATGATGATCTATGTGTGTGTGTCCTAACTATATACAGTGCTATAGAATTCATTAATAGGCAGTGGGTAATAAGAATTGAGAGTACATAAATTGAGGGATAAACAGATTTTTTTTTTAATCTACCTGAGAAAAAAGATCAAAGACGTCCTGGGAAAAGATGATCATAAGACCAAGCAGAAGTCAGGAAATCGTAACATCAATTTCATTCCCACATTTAAGGAAACTGATACTGAAGTTAAAAGCGCACAAAAAAGGTTAAGGTCCAAAATTCAACACAATACTAGGGAATAAAAGAGGTATTTAGACTTCTAGATGGGCTCTGTATTTATAAAATATCAAGTAAACCACACAAATTCTAAAAGATAATTTGTCAAAAGAAAGACAAATTAACAATGAAAATCTAATTATCTTCATGCTCAACAGTTTTGTCATATGACTCAAGATCTCAGCCAGTACTTTCCTGGGCTCTACAACAGACCATCACCAAATATGTGTTTATAGAAGCAATTATAATTTTAGGCTGCTACACTGTACAAGACATGATGCTAACTACATAATAGAGAAATACTAGAAGAAACATTAAGATTTCAACAATGTTCTTCAATTTTCAGATCTTAATTCTCAGAGTTACTTGTCCTTAAAGAAAGAAAAGAAAAACCAAGGTTCTAAGATCACTAACAGTACCATCGTCAGTTCTCATCAGATTTGATGGTGTTCAGTCATCCCCTCCTCACTGCTACATTTTCAATCTATCCTTGAAGTAAAACAAGAACCTTAAAACTAGGAAACTTTCAACTCAGGCTATAAAATACAGTAAAGATCCTTGAGAATAATTCAGTAAGTACAATGTGCTAATGGCTACATTTTCAAGAAACACACTAAAAAGCATGGTGCAAAAGATGATGAACATCTTACAGATTCAGTGTAAAGGTGGAAAACAGCTATGTAGAAGAGGTTCACGAGAAAAAATGCAACCTAAGCCAGGAATTTCATACTGACAAAATAAAAAGTGGAAGTTCTCATGAATTCCTGAAATGCAGGCCATGTGAGAATCACAAATCAAGAACCCTGGCACAAAAACATGATGTAAATGATTATTTATTTAGCTAGTAATTCTACCAAGTTACAGAAGGGTACAGTGACCACTCTTCTGGCTTCGTTGGTATCAATTATTTTGACTACAAAATACGATGGTAAAATCACCACCTACAAGACTTGGGAATACAGACCTCTTATCACCTCTGAAGTGGTATTTACTGAAAAACAATAACTGGGAATGGGTATGAGACAAGAAGAGATAACAGACTATGTAAGCAGCTGTGGAATTTCTCTGCCCTATTTTGAAGGAGTACCAAAAAGTAGTACAAACATTTCTGTCAGCGTGTAAATTCCAAATAAACCATGGAAATGTAGCATGTGGCAACAAAAAAGAGGAACTCTTTTTAGCAAGTGTCAAGAAGAGTGTAAGATAAATTCATAAATAAGTTCTGCTGTTAACTGCCATTCACAAACCAACCAAGAGCCTTTAAATGCAAACAGTAAAAAAGATTAACACGTATATCTGAACCTGTTATTTCCACATATATGGAAAGTGATTATATTAATACTGTGATTTTCACCTAGTCCCATTAGTACCCTCATGCTTATTTGCAGGCCTGAATTTCAATGCTGTTCTTATTACCAGTCCAGATATGCCACCACCACCACCATCCACCACCACTCTACCTGCCCTTCTTTCTTCAGATTTGACTAAACTCAGACATTTCTCCTAAAACTCTAAAGCCCCTGCTCATCCACTGAGTCAGTCTCCCTCTGGGCTTCCCACTTTGATACTACAGAAGCGGTCAGACATGATTTCCTTTTCATATCTCCCTTCTATACTCATCTAACTTCTTCCCCAGGTTAAGACAGAAGTAGAGACCTATAGTGTCATGCTTCCTCTCCTCTTGCCACTCCCTATGCCGGTTCTTTCTTGCAAGTTCTAAAATATCTCTTAATTACCCTTTTTCTCATTTTCAATCTTTCCCTCTTTATTTTCCTGACTTTAAAGAGTCCTCCCTATACTGAAAATATTCTTCCTTTGATTCTAATCATTAACTCAACTCCAGAATGACTTGCTTTATCAAGACTTATTTCTCACCCCAAAATAAAGTCTTACTTTTATATTTAACTATTTCATGTACATGTATACTGTTTTGATATTTTAAAGTAAGATACTCTTTGTTGGTATTTCTTATAATAGCTGTCATTCATTTTCTCATTCAACAGCTATTAAGTGCCTGCTCTGTCAGGCTAAAATACTATAACAAAAACATTTACTGAGATTGTAATATGTGCAAAGTGCCATTCTAGATACTAAGCACATTCTAAATATCAGATTTCCTTTTCAAAGGTCTTAAAATGTACGTGCAGGGTTCTGATGCATTACCAAAAAAACACCTAATACAGACAGCACATGTGTCATACTCTAACTGAACAGAACAGAGAATAAGGGTAGAAATTCAAAGGGAGAAATAAAGACAACGTGAAATAACTGCATCAGGCTTTGGGGATGAAACAACAGACAATGACAGCTGCAAGTTTAGCACATATATCCCCCCTTTTAACTTTTTCTTGCAAATCTGCTACTCTTCTTAACTTCACCTAGTCTCAATAATGATAATAAGCGATGTAACAAATATAAATTGTACCTAAAATAATGTTGCCAGACACAATGTGATGAATAAATGTTTCACTACAGTTGCAAATTTTGGTCTACCCCCTCTCCCCACCTTCCAAACAAGATGACTGACTCCTTGGAATCATTTTAGACTCTTCTCTTCATTCTCAACATCCTGCACCCATACCCAGTGACATCCACTTCCCTCCAATTAACCATACCAACCTCACTGACTTAGAGCATTATCATCTCCCAATGTATTCTTCTACAAATAAATGAATATAAAACTATTTCCTTAACATTTCCTCAGTGAGGAATTGGCAACAGACTGTTGCCTATAGTATTCATTATCAGCTCCCCAGCTCAGCTTTCAAAATTCTATATGATCCACTTTACAGAAAAGACCTAAGGTACTTGGCAGAAGGATATGACCTTACCATCACTCCTCTCCATTTCTGAAGTCACATGTTCCTATCAATTTTCAATTTCAAATTTTGGTATTCTCACTCATCTTCCAACCCAGTAGAGTAAAAGGAAGGTGGTCTTTCTGTTTTCCCCTATACTCCTGATTCCATTCCCACCCATTTTCATAGCTCTGCTGCTTCACTATCTATTTTATAGTCTCCCTGACACTACTAGCTACTTCTTCTCTTCTTAAAAGCACACTGAAATTTCCCCTGTAAGTTCTTGTGGACCAAAATTTTTCCAGCTACTATATTCCTTCTTTTGGCCAAACATTTTAAAAGAATAATCTGTAGTCAGCATACAGAGATAAAATAACTGTGCCCAAATTTAGAGAAATGGTTGTTCTGAGAGTAAAAGTAGTATACACAGCCATATAAAAAAAGATGTGTTTAACTATCACTAGAAGGAACCTGTTCCAAAATATTGCCTAGGAAACACCCAAGTTAAATCAAGGTGACTAAAAGTATAACTAGTTTAAATGTAAAAGGAAAGGTATAACACAATTAACTGTACTGTAAACGTACTGTCTAACGAATGTCAGCAATATTTGGGGGTATTCATGGAGTCCAGAAAAGGAGAAATTTAAGATTTAAATTTAATTTGCATGTATATTTCCAAGATAGAACTGCAAGAACAGTTTGATGTAACCAGACAACAGGAAGACTTCAAATTCCAAGCTCACAAAGTCACAGAACAGGACAGGGAGGTGAAGCAGTACACTGATGGATAGGCCTGTGTGAATCACGAACTATATCTGTCCCGTTTGCCTGATCCATGACCGCATGCAAAATTTTGAAAGGAGCTACATTTGTTAGGGGAAAGTCCACAGCTATCCTTTGATTTTCGAAAAGGTTCAGAGAGCCACAGTTGGAAACAAACATTCTGATCTATTTCCCTATTACATTTCTCACTATAAATGTAAACTCTGGTTACTATATCAGCATCTTATAGTTTACATAATTAAAGATTAACTAGATGAACTGATCAAATCAAGTTACCTTACCTGAAACAGTGCTGACCATCCCTATCCTACTTGGAAATTCTAGTCTTCCAAGTTCCATAAAATCACCTAATTTAAGTTCTCTCCTTTTCTTCATAGCAGTTCTTCTGGATCCATCCTTCCAGTAATATGTGCCTGTATTTTGTAACAGTTTCAGTAAATCTACATCAGTGGTTCTTAACTCTTTATGTTTAAAGTCGGGAGAATAAAAAAGGAAAGACTGAAAATGAGAAAAAGGTCAGGGTAATTAAGAGATGTTTTAGAACTTGCAAGAAACAGCCAGCATAGCATGGGGACTCCTGAAGGTCCCTTATGCCCTTTCAGGTCATTCATGACATCAAAACTACTTTCACAATAGTAGCTGCTTTTTAAAACTCTCTTTCCCTTAAAAGTATACAGTGGCATTTTACAGAGGCTAATTAAAATGTGATATCATCACAGACTTAATATATGTCACCACAGATATGCATTATATCCAGTTATATTAAGCCAGATAATAAAGAGATATCAAAAAAATGTAAAACAATTTCCCTCTTCTCACTAAATTTTTTGTTTTGGAAAACAGTTATTTTTTATTTACAAATGTTACATGCTAACATGTAGTAAGTTTTATTGTGACAAATTAATACATAAAACTTTAAATTTCTCAGCTTTAGTTTTGAATATGGTAAATACTGATACATATAACCAACATAAGCAAAAGCTCTGAGGAGTCCTCAGTATTTTTTAAGAGTATAAAGGGACCCCACGGCCAGAACATTTGAGAGCTGCTAATCTAGATACATCTTAACTATACAATCCCTTTCTCTCTTTCACTCAATCTCTTTTAATACAGATGCCCGGGCCCTACCAATATAAAGAAATTACTATAGATGTTGTGTGCATGTGTGGGTTAGTAGACATACATGTATTTTCCTAGCTTGTTTGCTGAGGTCACTGAAAAGCAACGACACCCAACACACCTAGCATCCAGAACTTAGTTTCTAAATGCCATTATCCAAACAAAAAAGAACCAGAGTTCTCTGAGAAGTGGTTGAGCCCAGAGCTGGGTCGGGGAAAAATATAAGATGACTCTAGAAAATCATAATGTCAGAAGCTAAAGTGTTCAAAAAAGGATCAGAGGATGTCAAAAGGACATAAGACCCAGACTGAAAGAGCTCCTAATGACCAAAGATGGAATCTGAGCAAGAACGTAAGCAACAACAGTACTGGATTATAACCCACAGAATAAAATGCATATCCACAGATACAAAATGAAACAGTAAAAACAACAAATAAATGGAGGAAATGGGACAGCTACAAGGAACATCAATATAGAAGGAATGCGGAAAAGACAAAAATCACAATTAGGTAAACATCATGGTAATAACCATTACAGGCAAGGCCCACCAATAGATGCTGAAGTTAGTGGGCAAAATTTTGAGAGAGAGGATATTTAAACGGTCTCAAAGTATCTCCTCCAAGATTATCTGTCAATTATAAAGAAAAAAACAGTAACTCTACAGTGGGGAAACCTGGCAGATAATCACAGTAAAGAAGGATCAAGGTTACTATCACCAGTTTTAAGACCTATCCACATTATGTGCCCCCGATATGATGCACTGAGGGGGACACAACATCACTTCTGTGGGTAGTCAAAAATGTAGAGCATCAATCTAACCATGAGAAAACACCAGAGAAGCTCAAATTAAGAAACAGTCTACAACACAACTGACCAACACTCATCAAAGTATAAAGGTCATAAAAGATGAGGAAAAGTCTGCATTCAACTGAAACAGATTGGAGGTGGCTAAAAAAACAGGATAACTCAATGAAATGTGGGTCCTGAATTGAATCCTCAAACAGAAAAAGGGTATTTGGAGGGAAACATAAAATTCAAACAAGGTCTGTAGTTTAATACTATTTCACCAATGTTAAATTCTTGGTCTTGACAACTGTACCATACGGTTACATAAGTTTTAACATTAGGGGAAGCTGTGTGAAAAGTTCATGCAAACTCTACTATTTCTGCAACTTTAAGTATAAAATTATTTCAAAATGAAAAGTTAAACTAGACTCTGATTTTTCTAACTACAAAAATACTCAGCATTTACATGGCATTTTTATGAGTTTGTGATTCTGCCTCCTCAGCATATACTAAGATTTATCAGACATTCACTACCATGCACTGTCCTAAGTGCTGAAGATATTAATACAATACATGGGGAAGACATGGTCTCTAGCCTGTATAGTCTATTGCATTAAATCCTACAGTAACACTATGTTAAGAATTTTCATTAAAAAAATAGAAAACTAAGGCCCAGGAAGGTTGAGTTACTTGCCTAAAAGCACAGTAATTAAGACAGAAAGACAAAATTTAAACCAAAGTCTTCTGAATCCAGTGACTAAGATCCTAATGATTGTGATCTGTGAATTCTTTCTTATCCTCATGTTACCAATAAACAAACTAAAATTTCAGGGAGGTAAGTGTCTTACCCAAGTTATTAAGTTGTACAACTAGGACTTAAGATCAAATACCTTTCAGTCCAGGACTGCTTTTCAATAAATCTAAATTATTCAAACTTATTTAAAAATGCTTTTTATAGAAACATACTGTATTTTTCCACATATGAACTATAGTTTGGTTGCTTTCAAAATAAGAAAAAAACTTCTAGTGGTTTTAGAACACCTAGTGATTATTACTAAAGGAAAATAAAATGTTAAAAAAAAATTGGCCAGGCACAGAGGCTCATGCCTGTAATCCCAGCACTTTGGGAGGCCGAGGTGGGTGGATCACGAGGTCAGAAATTCAAGACCAGCTGGCCAAGATGGTGAAACCCCGTCTCTACTAAAACTACAAAAATTAGCTGGGCACAGTGGCAGACTCCTGTAATCCCAGCTACTTGGGAGGCTGAGGCAGGAAAATAGCTTGAACCCAGGTGGCAGAGGTTGCAGCGAGCCAGGATCGTGCCACTGCACTCCAGCCTGGGCGACAGAGTGAGACTCCATCTCAAAAAAAAAAAAAGACAAAATGCCAAGAATATTTAGATGAAACATTAGAAGACTTGGATTTCAATACTATCTCTTCCAATTATTAGCTAGGTGAACTTGGCTTCCAGAAGTAGTATGGCAAAACAAGAAAAGCACAGGCTTGGGAATTCAAAGAAATAAAATCCAGTTTCAAAGAGTAATACTAACAGTGTGTGAGGTTGAACAACTAAAATTGGGATCATGCCGAACTTTGCTCACCTGTAACCTGGAGGGGAAAATCTCATAGGATTTTTACAGAGTTAAATAAGATAACTCTGTAAAGTACTAACTACAGTACAGAGCAGTATGAAGTAGTTCTTGATGCTACTTAGTATCATAATAAACTCATCTGTTAATTGGCAGTAGTAATAATATCCATCTTACATCAGAAAATCAAAAGAGATTACATGAAAAGCACCTTGAACACCTTAAAGCACTAAACGAATATACAGTTATTAATTATCATACAATTAATAGGTGTGTAACTGCTTGGATACACAAAGGATTAGCAATTTCTATAAAATATCTCTACGTAGACATCTTGATATCTAAAACTCAATATGCCAAAAAAAAAAATCTTTCCTTTCACGTTAGATCCTCCTTCTAAATTCCCTGCCTTTCAATATATCATCCCAGTATCCTATCTAAAGATTCTTTTTTTTTTTTTTTAAGACAGAGTCTCGCTCTATCACCCAGACTGGAGTGCAGTGGTGCAATCTCGCCTCACTGCAACCTCCGCCTCCCAAGTTCAAGCAATTCTCATGCCTCAGCCTTTGGAGTAGCTGGGACTACAGACATGTACCACCACGCCCAGCTAATTATTTTGTATTTTTAGTAGAGACAGGGTTGGCCATGTTGGCCAAGCTGGTCTCAAATTCCTGGTCTCAAGAGATCCACCCGCCTCGGCCTCCCAAAGTGCTGGGATTACAGGCGTGAGCCACCATGCCCAGCCAATGCTATTTTTTAGTTTTCTTTTCTACCTTCCACCCAGGACAAAGTCCAGTTGTTGCTGTTCTTCCTAAATATAATATACAAATCTAGAAATTATACTTCATATTTCCTTCTTTAGATTATTTATAATGATACTAAGTTGGGACTCTCATACACTACTAGAGGGTCATCTTTTGTAGACTACAATTTGGCCAATATACAATAAAAGCCTTAAGAGACCTATACTGAGGAAATACTTTCTCATGACAAAAAAGCACATATACAACACCACAGTATTATTTATAACAGTAAGAAAAGGGTGCAAATGTCTAATACCCAATAATAAAGAAATAGGGAGATAAATTATAATACAGCTATATGGCATTATACAAATATTAGAAATCTGACTTTTAATGACCAAGATGAAATGCTCATGGTTTAAGGTAAAGTAATAAATATAAATAGGCATGTAGATAAATACATTTTCACAATTTTATACAAACACAAATATAGACACAGCAAATTTTATGCAAACACACCAACTACCTACATAGAAAAAAAAACAAAAAAAGAAACATTAAAATGTTAGCAATGGTATGTCAAGAGCAGTTTTCCTAAAGTAGTAAGATTATAACAATTTTTATTTTCTTTATAGTTTTAAAATTTATACATTTTTCAATCTTAAAAAGATATTAAATCTAGTCCTAGCACAAATCCTTACCATTAATTAAAAAAAATATTATTATCTTAATATACTAAGTTGTTCTAAAAACTGAAACACTAACCCAGCAAAGTAAAGTGAAAGGAAATCTCTATGGGTAAGTTTGAGAAAGAAACCAGAACTATCAACTAAATCTTAATCTCCACAATTCACATCACCAGCAAAAATCAATTCCCAGTGGATTACTGATCTAAATGGGAACGGAAAACCATAAAGCCTCCAAAAGTTAAAAAAGGAAAATATCTTCACAATGTTGGGACAGGCAAAAATTTCTTAAGAAGGACACAAAAAATACCAAAAGGAAAAGACTTATACAATAAATCGAACCTTATTAACTCCTGTTTACCAAAAAAGTAAAAAGACCCACCAGAGTCAGAAATGATCACTGCAATACATGCATCCAACCAGTGGATAAAGAACTACTACAAATCTGTAAGAGAAAGAAACAACCTACTAGAAAATTAAGCAAAAGATGAACATCTACCTTACTAAAAAATAATATTTAAATTGTCAATAAACATGAAAAGATAATCAATTTCATTAGTTACTAGTGAAATGAAACATTAAGTCATATTGCAATTCCACTATCATACCACCAAAACAGCTAAACTTAAAAGGACTGACAAGATCAAATAGCAAGGATATAGAGCAATTATTATAAATTGGCAAAACCAATTTAAAAAACTTCTGTCAGTATGTACTAAAGCTGAACATAGGCATATCCAGTAAATTCAATTCTAAGTATATAACCAACAGAAATGAGTACATACACACACAAGTGACATCCAAGAATATTCACAGCAGCACTTAATACCAAACATCTAGAAACAATCTAAATGACTATTAGACTAGAATAAATGAAATTCACCCAACTGATGATTCTACAGAAATTACATGCAATAACATGGGTATATCTCATAAACAATGAAAATAAAGAAACCAGATACCTAGTATATAGTGCCTATGATTCTGCTTATTTCGAATTCAAAGTCAGGTAAAACTAATAGACTATGACAAAAGTGTTGGGGTAGTAGTAATCTTTAGGAACTAGAGGAGTGCTGTGACCAAAAGGGATTCTATATCTTGATCTTGATAGCAGTTACACGAGATGTTCACTTCAGAGAAATTTAATCAAGATGTACTCTTATGATTTGTGCGCTTTTCTGTATAAATGTTACATTTCAATAAAAAGACATATACCTAGAGCAATGTTATAAATGTGCATACACACACACACACACACACACACACATGCTCCTTTCCAATTATTTCATTCAAACAAACCCAGTAATAACAAATGTCAATCAACAGAGGAATGTGATTAAATAAATTATGGCATATCCTTTAATCACTCATTAAAATAGGGCAGTTTTACATGCAATAACATGGAAATCTCCACAAGATGCGTCATTAAATGAATAATGTAAATTTCAAATGCATACAAATAGCATTATCCAATTTATGTAATAAAACAAAATATTGTACATTTATATTAAATTTTTTTTTTTTTTTTTTTTTTTTGAGACAGAGTCTCACTCTGTCGCCCAGGCTGGAGTGCAGTGGCGTGATCTCAGCTCACTGCAAGCCCCACCTCCCAGGTTCATGCCATTCTCCTGCCTCAGCCTCCCAAGTAGCTGGGACTACAGGCGCGTGCCACCATGCCCAGCTAATTTTTTTTTGTATTTTTAGTAGAGACAGGGTTTCACCATGTTAGCCAGGATGGTCTCAATCTCCTGACCTCGTGATCCGTCCGCCTCGGCCTCCCAAAGTGCTGGGATTACAGGCGTGAGCCACTGCACCCAGCCAAATGTATGTATTATATATCCAAAATGTATTAGACATAAATGCATGCACACAATATGTTTCTTTATAAATGTAAAACTTCCAGAAAGGTATCAATATTAGTAGCTATTTCTTTGGAATTAGAGTAGTAGACAGACATTGGAAAGAAGGAAATTTTACTTTTCACTTTATTATTTCTTCTACCTTGTTTTAATATTTACAATGACTATGTAGTCCTTTTATAATAAAATGCAAATATAAAAACACCAAAGTAGACCTCTCTGAAACTGATGTAGCTAGGCTGACTCTACATACCCTGTCCTAAATGATTTCCAGTTGGTGTACTACTAGTTTAAGAGCATAACTCTCCTTCAGTACCACTGTCTCACAATTCCAGATGAAGCAATTAGACATCAAAGGTCAGACAGAACTATATTAAGAGTGTTAGGAGACTGGTTATGTTATTAAAGTCAGCTGGAAACCGGCTGTGGTGACTTACACCTGTAATCCCAACACTTTGAGAGGCTGAGGCAAAAGACTGGCTTGAAGCCAGGAGTTCAAGGCCAGCCTGGGCAACCTAGCAAGTTTCCATCTCTGTAAAAAATTTAAAAATAAAAATAATAAAGTCATCTATAAAGAAATCTTCTACCAACAATTCATGTCTACTTAAGGGGGAAAAAAAGGATATAAACTGGGTCAAACAACCTTAAGAACAAGTGAGGATACTGAAAAATAGACCATGTTGGGTCAACTCCCTAAAACAATCTACTGGAAGAGATAATCTGATTCATCTACTTGCCTGTTGAGTTGAAATCATTAATAATAAGCAATAAACACGACTCTCACCAGGAAAGGAATAGCACTCAGTCCATGCTTTCTGCCCAAATAATGATTGCTGTTAGATAATACACTTTTTTAAAGAGCCATGTGGTATGAGAGTAAAATCTTGTGAAAAAACTAGAGTTGAAGTTAGTTACCATCTATTCTCCTTAAAACAAGCTCAATTAAACTACTTGTGAAAATGATATTCAAATAATACGCTGACGTAAAAAGGATTTGAATGTTTGTTTTGTTGTTGTTGTTTCTGAGGCAGGGTCCCACTCTGTCACCCAAGCTGGAGGGCAGTGGTGCCATCTCGGCTCACTGCAACCTCCACCTCCCAGGTTCAAGCAATTCTCGTGCCTCAGCCTCCTGAGTAGCTGGGATTACAGGCGCCCACCACCATGCCTGCCTAATTTTTGTATTTTTAGTAGAGACAGGGTTTCACCATGTTGGCCAGGCTGGACTTGAACTCCTGACCTCAAATGATGTGCCCACCTCAGCCTCCCAAAGTGCTGAGATTAGAGGTGAGAGCCACCATGCCTGGCCTGAATGTATTTTTTGAAGCACCTCTTGAAACATATATCCCCAATAAAAGACAATGCAATCACTTCAAAAGGTAAGGACCCAACAGCCAGTGCAAAAACCAAAACTACTACTGAATCCCTCAAATAAACTTTAAAAGAAATGCAATGGTAATTAAGAATTGGGTATAACTAACGATAGGATTCAAGGAAATTTAAAAACTAAAAACCAAAACAGAGGTCTTATACCAATGGCCAAATATGTTTTGAGTTTCCTGGGTCATTAAATGAATTAATCATAAACACGAAAATGCGTAACAGTATGCCTGCAATTTTACACATGCTGCTTTATAGCACAAAAATTCATGACTAACAATGTTACATGAATGCTAAAGCATTTTTTAAGGAATTACACATGCCTGAAATATTTCATATTTTATTACATCATTATGTGACTAGAGCATGATTTTTTAGATAGTTCCTACTTTATAAAATCTTTTCACTCAAGTGATACAAAGCAATAGTTTTCTAGAAGATGAATGCAGCATACATCACTGTGAATTACAATTTGCTCTGTTTTGCTAATACAGAACATAAGTCCTTCCTCTTAACATGCTTGCCACCAAACTGAAAAAATAAAGACCATAAAAATTTATGATTTGCTAAATCCTCCTGAATGGGTCTGATAAGTGTAAAATGGATAAGCCAAATAGTTTTTTTAATTGCTGAAATAAATTTTGTTTCTGAGTTGAGAGGCTTTCTAATATAGTGCTATCTAATAAAATATTTTGAAATGATGAAAATATCCTTTATGCTATCCAATACAGAAGCCATTAGCTACATGTGACTACTGAACACTTGAAATGTGACTAGTGTGACCAAGGAACTGAAAAATTAATTTTATTAAAATCTAATTTAAATGTCTAAAATATTAAAAAACAAAGTTCTAATGAGAAAGATGTAGACGTTCAAAAGTTGGCCTAGGCCAGGTATGGCAGCTCATGCCTGTAATCCCAGCAGGATCACTTTTGAGGCCAGGAGTTTGAGACCAGCCTGGGTAACACAGCGAGACCCCATCACTATTAATAAAATTTATTAAAATAAGAAACAGCTGGCCTATATTTTGCTGTTGAAAACATAGTGCCATTGAGCTAAATCTGAGTGACTTAGAGAGCCAAAATAAATCCTGAAAATTGGCAGTTATCACACATGATGACTTATACTTCAAATGTCACCAAACACTAGCGAGTTTACATAGGCTACAGAACTTAAATAATTTTAAAACACTAAAAACTCATTTTTTTGCTTTGAACTAACCAAAATAAGTTAACATAAAGTTCTTTGTACCTTCCACATGAATGAGCAAATCAAAGAAGAAAATCATTAACATGCTCAATATCAATTTTTAAAAGGCTTTATTTAGCACAATCTAGAAAAACACTTGAGTAAAGGACTGTTAAGTTTCTACAGTTTTGGGGACCTGTATCATACTATTCTAGATCAATGTTCTCTCTTCAATTCAAAAATGTACATTCGGCCAGGCGCAGTGGCTCACACCTATAATCCCACCACTCTGGGAGGCCGAGGTGGGTGGATCACCTGAGGTCAGGAGTTCAAGACCAGCCTGGCCAACATGGTGAAACACTGTCTCTATTAAAAATACAAAAATTAGCCAGGCATGGTGGCGGGCATCTGGAATCCCAGTTACTTGGGAGGCTGAGGCAGGGAGAAATGCTTGAACCCAGGAGGTGGAGGTTGCACTGAGCCAAGACCATGCCACTGCACTCCAGCCTGGGTGACAGGGCGAGACTCCATCTCAAAAAAATAAATAAATAAAAGTACATTCATGGCCAGTTGTGGTGGCTCACACCAGTAATCCCAGCACTTTGGGAGGCCAAGGTGGGAGGATCGCTTGAGCCCAGGAGTTCAAGAGCAGTCTGGACAACATACTGAGATCCCATCTCTGAAAAAAATTGTGAACATTAGCCAGGCAAGGTGGCACACAACTGTGGTGCCAGCAACTTTGGAGGCAACAGTGAGAGGATCACTTGACCCAAAGAGATCAAGTCTGCCATGAACCATGATCATGCCACTGCACTCCAGCCTGGGTGACAGAACAAGACCCTGTCTCAAAAAAAAAAAAGAAAAAAAGAAAAGAAAAAAAAAGTACATTAATGAAACCCAGACCTGCCCTTTACCTCCCTGCCTTATCAACAGGAACCCATAAGTAAGAAGTAAGGGATAGAATTTCTCATGTCTCTTATGTTCTACTATAAACCAATGTTATGCAAACACTTTGCAAATTCTGCCCATCTGGTATATCGCATAATACAGCTTTTCATTGATTCATTTTCAGAATGGACTCAAATTTATCATTATCTATTAGGAATAAAAGGACTGAATTATGGGTTACCATAAAAATGGAATTATCAAGCAGACACTGAAGTTGTTTTAGAAGAACACACAATTGAGAAAAATTCAAAATATACTGTTAAGTGAAAAGACTACATAAAAAGCAATATGATCTTATGTATGGCATGCTTATCAAAAAAGCATAAAGCACATACATTAAAATGTTATGAGTGACTGTATCTGGGTGATAGGGGTATGGTAGGGTATTTATTCTAGAGATGAATACCTATATTCACAGAAAAACCTGCACACAAATGTTAATAGCAGCTTTATTTTTAATAACCAAAACCTGGAGACAACTAAAATGTCCCTCAATAAGTGAATGGTAAACTGCGGTACATTGGTGCTATGCAACACTACTACAAAACAAACAGTAAGAAATTACTGATACATGCAACAACCTGGACGACTCTCAAGAGCATTACGTTGAGTGAAAAAAATAGTCAATTCCAAAAGGTCACATCCTGTAGGATTCCATTGATACAACATTCTCAAAAATGACACAGTTCTAGAAATAAACAACAGATTAAGGATATTCAGGGGTTAGGAATGATGGAAGGAAGAGAAGAGGTGTGACTATAGGGGGTAGCACCAGAGAGATCTTTGTTATCCTGGCTTAGTTCTGAATCTTGATTGCTTTGGTGGTTACACAAATCTACACATGCTGCAAGGGTCCCCAACTCCCAGGCCGTGGACCAGCACCAAGCCGTGACCTGTTAGGAACCCGGCTGCACATCAGGAGGTGAGCGGCCAGTGAGCAAGCAAAGCTTCATCTGTATTTACACACTGTCCCCACTGCTTGCATTAATGCCTGAGCTCTGCCTCCTGTTAGGTCACCGACAGCATTAAATTCTCATAGGAGCTCAAACCCTATTGTGAACTGCACATGCAAGGGATCTAGGTTCCCTGCTCCTTATGAGAACCTAATGCCTAATTGATGATCTGTCACTGTCTCCCATCACTCCCACATGGGATGGTCTAGTTGCAGGAAAACAAGCCCAGGGCTCCTACTGACTCTACATTATGGTGAGTTGTATAATTACTTCATTATATATTATAATATAATAATAATAGAAATAAAGTGCACAATACATGTAATGCTTTTGAATCATCCTGAAACCATCTCCACCCCCACCCCATTCGTGGAAAAACTGTCTTCCACAAAACTGGTCCCTGGTGCCAAAAACGGTTAGGGGTTGCTGCATAAAGTACTCAACATGGGATACACTGTCGCAATGTGAATTTCTTGATTTTGACATTGCAGTGTATTTATATAAAATGTAACAACTGGGAGAAATTGGATGAGGGATGGAGGGGGTCTTCTCTGTACCATTTTTGCCACCTTCCATAAATCTATATAATTTTAAAATAAAAAAATTTTTAAGTAAAAGGATAGATTTTTGTCCTTTTCCCCTTCCTGCTCTTGCCTATCCTCTTATCCTCCAGGAACCAGTCAGGTCTAAAGCCATAAGCTGGGGCCAAACAAGGTGTCAGATACCAGACAGAAGGAAGAGGGCTTCTACATGGGAGGATGGCCCAATATAAGATGTCAAAGACCAAGCAGGGTGAGGTGGTTCTCCATATAGAGGGGCAGCTCAGCATGAGGTGCTGGAGCCCAAGCAGCATAAGGAAGAGTCTAGATTGTGGGAAAAGGGCAGCCTGGACCACCATGTCAAAAGCTAAGTGGGGTGAAGAAAGTATCAAAGAGTGGATGTAGACCAGTGCAATGTATCTAAGTAAGAGTGCCATAAGGAGGGGGTCTGCTTGGTGCTAAGGTCTAGTTCAAGTTGTCAAAGCACATGTAGGAGGAGAAAGGTATCCACGCAGGGCAGGGGTAGCAAGTACTCCTGTGAGGCTTACAAGCCTAGGAGCATCTGCATTAGGGGTTAGGATAATAAGAAAATAAGTAAATATGCTGAGATAACAAGCCAGGTTTCTCACCGTCTAATGTACTCTGCTGGACTTGTAATGGGAGGTAGCAGTAGGAACTCATGGTTTTCAATATTGATAGATATGGAAATTATAGAAAGGAATATGTGCACTATATGTAAATGTACATCATTATATACATACATACATTCTCTAGCTCTGTCCATTGAGAGGCCTAGGAGCAGCTATATCCCAACTGCAAGGAGCAGCATGTTCAGCACCCAGACCTTGGCTTCTAAATACCATTCTCCACTAAAATGAACTAGGGGGTCCTTGGAGAAATGGCTGACTCCAGAACTAAAGCAGAAAAAGGACAAGATAAGCCTAGAACATAATGTGCCAAAAAGCAAAGAAGTACTCAACGACTGACGAGATATGTCCAAGAACATAAAACCTGCTTGAAAAGGCTTCTGTTAGCCAAATCTTAAACAAACTGAGTATTAAAATAATCACAGTAATAGATTTTAACCCAGCAAATTTTTAAAAACCCTAATTCCATATTGATAAATAAAGTGTGATAAGGAATAACTTTATAGCAGCAAAGCCTGGAAGGTATCAATTGATCAAAGTGAACCATCATCTGAATGACGGCAAATAAAACTCAGGTGCTGCCTGTCAGAATGCAATGGCGAGAAAACACAGCATTATTTGTACAATATTCCTGCCAAAGATGCTTAACTTAAATATCCTAAGGAGGAAAAAAAATCAGGTAAGGCCTGAGGGACATTCTACTAAATAAATGTAAAATATAAATTCCAAAAGTGATGAATTAACCCAGACTAACAAAAACTGAAGAACATGACAATTAAATTCAACATGTAATTTTGAACTGAGTCTTTTGGCTAACAAACTTTAACTGCTGGACTTTAGCAGCTCTCTCCCAGTAACTAACAGAACATGTAGTTCAGTGAGTACATAAAAGAGTTAAAGAATACAATTAGTGGCCGGGCGTTGTGGCTCACACCTGTAATCCCAGTACTTTGGGAGGTGAAAGCAGGAGGATCGCTCGAACCCAGGAGTGTGAGACTAGCCTGGGCAACATAGTGAGACTCTGTCTCTACAAAAAAATTTTAAAATAAGCCTGGCATGGTGGTGTGTGCCTGTAGACCAGGTAGCTCAGGAGACTGAGTTGTGAGGATTACTTGAGCTCAGGAGGTGAAGGCTACATTAAGCCATGATCACACCACTGCACACCAGCACGGGCAAAAAAAAAAAAAAGAAAAAAAGAAAAAGTGAATACAACTAAACAACTTGACCTAACTGACATTTATAAAATAATCCAACCAACAATAGCCAGAATACACATTCTTTTCAAGTACACATAGAACACTCACCAAACAGATCATATGCCAAGCACTGAAACAAGTCTCAATAAATTTAAAAGGGCAGAAATCATACAGCATATATTTTCTAACCACACTTACTAGATATTAATGATGAAAAGATATCTGGAAAACTTCAAAATATTCAGAAATTAAGCAAAACACTTCTAATTAACTCATGAATCAAAAAGAAATAAAGGAAGTTAGAAGTATCTTTAATTGAATTAAAATGAAAAAATATATCAAAAGCTATGCTGAGAAAAAAGTTTGGAGCTTCACATGTTTAGGTCAAAAATGAATATCTAAAATCAGTCACCAAACTTTCTACTTTAAAAAGCTAAGATAAGAAGAGCAAATGAAAACCAAAGTAGTAGAAAGAAATAATAAAAAGTAAAAATGAACAAAAGTTAAAGTGAATAGTGAAAATCGATAAAACCGAAACTTCACTATTTGAACAGACAATGAAAACAAGTAAATCTCTACCCAGTCTAATTAAGAAAAAGAAAAATTATTATACCAATATCAGGAATGAGAAAAAAGAAATCACCATTGATCCTTAAAACAACAAAAGAAAATATTAATAGAACTTTGGTCAATTAAACAATTAAGAAAACACAATTTACCAAAACTTATTCAAGAAAAAATGTTTAGTATGAATAGCCTACTTATGTTTTTTTAAATAAAATTTGTAATTTAAAACCTTCCCACAGGCTGAGGTGGGAGGCCACTTGAGCCCAGGAGTTCAAGACAAGTCTGGACAACATAGTGAGACCCTGTCTCTACAAAAAAAATTTTTTCTAATTAGCCTGATGTGATGACATGTGTGTATAGTCCCAACTACTTGGGAAGCTGAGGTGGGAGGATCATTTAAGCCTAAGAGGTTGAGATTACAGTGAGCTGTGACTGTGACCCTGCACTCTGCACTCCAGCCTGGGCAACAGAGCAAGACCTTGTCTCCAAAGAACAACAAAAAACCCTTCCCACAAAGAAAACTCAACTCTAGATTAGCTTTACTGGTAAAGCCTATCAAATATGTATGATAAAAATATCAATCTTACACAAACTCTTTCAGAAAACAGAGAAGGAAACACTTCCTAACCCATTTACAATGAGGCCAATATACCTAAAAACGACATAGCTATTCCAAAAAAAAAAAAAGAAAACCATGGACTAATATCTCTCATAAACATACAAATGTTTAAATTAGCAAACTGAATTCAACAAGAAAAAAGGACGATACATCATGACCAAGTGTGATTTATCCCAGGAACGCAAGAGCTGTTTAATATTTGAAAATCAGCATAATTCACCATATTAAGAGAATAATGACAGGATATTCATATGATCATTTCAATCGATGCAGAAGAAGTACTTGATGAAGTTAAATATCCATTCATGTTTTTTTTTTTTTTGAGACGGAGTCTCGCTCTGTCGCCCAGGCTGGAGTGCAGTGGCGCGATCTCAGCTCACTGCAAGCTCCGCCTCCCGCATTCACGCCATTCTCCTGCCTCAGCCTCCGAGTAGCTGGGACCACAGGCGCTTGCTACCACGCCCGGCTAATTTTTTGTATTTTTTTAGTTGAGACGGGGTTTCACCTTGTTAGCCAGGATTGTCTCAATCTCCTGACCTCGTGATCCGCCCGCTTCGGCCTCCCAAACCACTCACGTTTTTTAAACAAAGTCTCAGCAAACTAGGAAGAACACTTCAACCTAATAAAAGTAATCTATGAAAAACCTACACCTAATTCTTTTTTTTGAAACAGTCTCACTCTGTCACCCAGGCTGGAGTACAATGGTGTGATCTTGGCTCACTGCAACCTCTGCCTCCTGGACTCAGGTGATCCTCCCAATTCAGCCTCCCAAGCAGCTGAGACTACAGGTGCACACCACCATGCCCAGATAATTTTTTTTTTTTTTTTTTTTGGCAGAGATGGGGTTTCCCCATGTTGTGCAGGCTGGTCTTGAAGTTCTTAACTCAAGCAATCCCTTGCCTGCCTCGGCCCCCTAAAGTGCTGAGATTACAGGCATTAGCCACTGCACCCGGCCCCTAACATAATTCTTAATGATGAAAGAGTAAATGCAGTCCCCTTAAGATCTGGAACAAAGCAAACATGTCTACTTGCATCGCTTCTATTCATCATTGTTTTGTAGGCCCCAGACAGTGCAATAAGAAAAAGAAATAAAAGAGATACAGATTGGAAAGTAAGTAAAACATATGGACAATACAATAGTGAAGAAACCTAAGGAATCTACAACATAACTACTATAACTAATCAGTAAAGATAACAAAGTCACAGAATACATAGTCAATATAAAAAGAATCAACTGCATTTCTATATTCTAGAAAGTAACAATTAGAATTTGACATTTTAAAACATACCATTTATGATAGCATCCAACCAAAACCATGAAATACTTAAGGATAAAATTAACAAAATGTGCCCAATAACTTTACACTGAAAACTACAGAACAATGCTGAAATAAAGAAAACCTAAATAAAAGTAAAGGTGTACTACATTCATGGACTGGGAGCCATTATTGTTTAGATGTTGGTTTGTCAGTCAAGTCAATATACAGAATCAATGCAATCTCAATCAGAATCAGTTGACTTTTCTATAAAAAAAAAAAAAACAAAAACCTAAAAGGTGGATTCCATACTTTATATGAAAATGCAAAGGACCTAACATAGTCACTACAGTATTACAAAAGAACAACAAAATTGGAGGACATACACAATTTGATTTCAAGATTTACTATAAAAGATACAGCAATCAAAACAGTGTGACACTGATTTAAAGACAGACACTAGGTCCATCAATGAAAACCCACAAGAAATAAGACTTACACAAACACGTACCAAGAGAAATGAAAAAAGACTTGTACAACAATTTTCCTAACCACTTTATTCATAGTAATTGAAAGCAAGAGACAACACAAGTAACCACAAAAAGGAGGATGAATAAACAAATTTTGATATTAATTAAAATGACTAAACATTAATCAATAGGGAAAAAGAATGAACTGTTGATACATTCAACCAACATGGATGAATCCCAAAACATGTTGTGCAAAAGCAGCCAGACACAAGAGTTACATGTAACTCCATTTACATGAGGTTCTCATCAAGGACAATGACAATCTATGAAGAAAAAATATCAGAACAACTGTTGTGGAGGAATTGACTGGGAAGAATTACAAAAAAACTTCCCAGGATTACTAAAACATTTGGTATCTTGATGGATTATGGATTATACAAGTTTATGCAGTTGTCAAAACTCTGAACTACAAACTCAGAATCTGAACATTTCACTTTAAACTTTTCCTCAATTAAAAACAGAATGTATATTTTCACTCAAAAAAAATCTGATTGCCTACTATAACCCAGGTATTGAGAACACAAAATTTAAAGGCAGGATACAGAAAAAAATACCTTAAAATATAATGACAAGACAGTCTTGCAAGCAAAGAAATGCAAAGTTATTATAGTTACCATAATGAAAAATCACAAGAAAGAGACATCTTTTAAGGTGAAACATGAGTAACAGTAAATTGCCAAATAAATAATATTATAGGCATATACGACATGAACAAAAGTAACAGAAAAAACCCATAGTGGACCTAGGCAACTAAATTAATTTGATATGCTTAAAGCATAAAATGGTGGCGAAAGGGGCTGAACTACAGTTAAAAAAAAAAGTTGGATAAGGGACGGGATTATGACGGCTATTTCCGCCCATGCAAAAAAGTACATTTTAGCTGTTTAGTAATGAGGAACCACTGGGGAAGTTTCAGTAAGGGAATGACATGTATACATCTCGTTTGGAAAGATCACTGTAGAAACTATCTGAAAGATACACTGGAGAAGGCGCAGGCTACTGTCAGTCCAATAAAAATGCCAGTCTATTGCAATCTATAGACTACCTCATCCAACAAAAACAGAATGCACATTCTTTTCAAGCTCGCACGTAACATTTCACCAAGGTGGACAACATTCTGGGCCATAAAATACAATCTAACAAACTTAAGAGAATAGCAATCATATGGCGTCTGCTCTAAGACCACAACAGAATTAAACTACAACTAATAACAGAATGGTAGCTAGAAAATATCTCAAAATACTTGGATATTAAACAACACACTTCTAAACAATAATGGTTCAAAGAATTTTTTTTTTTTTTTTTTTTTTTAAAGACAGAGTTTCACTCTGTCACCCAGGCTGGAGTGCAGTGGCACAATCTTGGCTCACTGCAACCTCTGCCTCTGGAGTTCAAGTGATTCTTATGCCTCAGCCTCCCACATAGCTGGGATTACAGGTGCATGCCACCATGCCCGGCTAATTTTTGTATTTTTAGTAGAGATGGGGTTTTGTCATGTTGCCCAAGCTAGTCTCAAACTCCTGAGCTCAAGTAATCCGCCACTTTAGCCTCCCAAAGTGCTGAGATTATAGGCGTGAGGCACCACACCCAGTCCAAAGAAGAAATCTTAACAGAAATTTTAAAATATATTGAACTAAATGAAAATAAAAATACAACTATCAAAATCTATGCAATGTAGCTAATGCAGTGCTTAGAGGAAAATTTATAGTATGAATGCATATATTAGAAACAAAAAATCTAAAATGAATACGCTTCCACTTTAGGAAAGTAGAAAAAGAAGAGCAAATTAAATCCGAAACAAGCAGAAAAAAATTATAAAAATTAGAGCAGAAATAAATGAAACTGAAAATAGGAAATAGAGGGAAAAAAATCAAGAAAATCAAAAGCTGTTTCTTTGAAAATATCAATAAAATAAGCAAGCCTCTACCACTGGGCAGGGGGAAATGCAGAGTTGTTCGAACATGAGTTTCAGTTTCAGTTTTGCAAGATGAAAAAGTTCTAGAGATCTGTTGTACAACAATGTCAATATAGTTTGCACTACTAAAATGGACACTTAAAAATTGTTGCTCTCTCCTCTGCTCGCATTTTCACTCTGCCATGCCCTGCTCTGAAGAGACACCCACCGTTACCCCCAGCAAACAGGCTGGTTTGCAGAGGAAGGCAGCATGCAGCTCCGTTTTGCCCCATTCTCTGAGCAGGCCACAACCCTGACTCAGGGATCCACACAGGCCACAGGCTATGACCTCAACGGTGCCTATGATGATACAATACCACCTATGGAGAAAGCTCTAGGGAAAATGGACATTCAGATAGCTCTTCCTTCTGGATGTTACAGAAGAGTAGCTCCATGGTTTGGATTAGCTGCAAAACACTTTATTGATAGATGAAGATTACTGAGGAAATGTTGGTGCTGTACTGTTTAATTTTGGCAAAAAAAAGTTTAAAGTCAGAAAAAGTGATCGTATTGCACAGCTCATTTGTGAATGAATTTTTAATCCAGAAATAGAAGTTCAAGCTTTGGATGATGCTGAAAGGCATTCAGAAGAGTTAGGTTCTATTAGAAAGTATTAAAATTTATGCTAAGAATAGAAAATGAGAACTCATACCTTTTTCTTAAAAGAGTTTTTGCTTAAAGCATTTTGGTAAAACTTCTGTAATCTTAATAGCTTTACCTTCTAAAAGTACTGCATTTTCTTATGATCAAAGAAAAGAGTACCTCTGTTCAGATCACACAGAAATTTTTTCTGCTGATAGTTGTATGTAAATCTGCTTTGTCCTGATATAAGACAGTGTCTTTTTAAAATCAAATGTACATCAATTACAGACCCCAAAAAACCCTATATAATTTAACTTAGTAAATGATACACCAAAAAAAAGGGAATTGTTAAGACAGTAATTTTTTTAAATTACTGTCTTAAGACAAGAAAAAAAGAAAAAAAGAGAAAACACAAATTACTAATATCAGAAATCAAAGAGAGGACATCACTATAAACCCCTGGACATTAAAAGGATAATAAAACAATACTATGAACTTTGTTCCCACAAATTTGACAACTTTATCAAAATAGACCAATTCCTTGGAAGACACAATCTGTCAAAACTCACACAAGAAGAATCAGATAATCTGAAGAGACCTATATTTATAGGAGAAATCAAATCAACAATAACTTTCCAAAACAGAAAGCACCAGACCCAAAGCAGTTCACTGGTGAATTCTACCAAACATTTAAGGAAGAAATTACATCAGTTCTCTACAATCTCTTCCAGAAGATATAAGCAGAGGGAATACTTGCTAATTTATTCTATGAGACCAGCATTACCCTAATACCAAAAACAGACAAAGACATCAAGAAAACTATAGACTAATATTTCTCATGAACACAAATGTAAAAATCCTCAAAATATGATCAAATCAAATCCAACCACATCTAAAAAGAACTATATACCACAAACAAGCAGGATTTATTCCAGGTATGAAAGTTGCTTCCATATTCAAAAATCAACTAATGTAATCCATTACATCATCAGGCTAAAGAGGAAAAAGTTACTGCAATGGGCTAGGTAAAGCTGGTGAATGTATGTATCAGAGCACAACTACAAGTAGTTATCCGCTCATTCACACCATGTGCCAACACCTGGACTACAGTGAAAAGTAAGACAAAACTCCTGTCCTTATGGAGTCTACAATCCATCAGAGAAGCATCGTACAAGTAAATCACAAGTCCCTATCACAGGGACTCAACCTAGAGTCAAGAGAAGTGACAGGCTGATGATGATGGAGCACTATCTAGAGGTTATAAAACAGGTATGAAGTATGACTGAGGGTAATATCTCAAGCAGGATATATTAAAGTCCTAAAGCAAAAGAAAAAGTACATGTTAGATGAACTGAAAGGAACCCAGGTTTGATATCATAGAAAGAAGAGACAAGAATTTACATGATGGTTGTGGTTTCACTGATTATTGGGTAAAAATAAAGGTAGAAGAAGGAAAAACATATGGGTGCTTATGAAACATCTTAAATGACGTCTGAGGTAGATAGGAAAGAGTAAAGGGCTGATATACTTTAAAAAGATAAACAGATCAAGCAAGCGGAGGATACAAAGAGAACAGAGAATAGGAGCATATTAGAAAAATTTAAGAAGGCAAGAATTACAGAATTTGTAGGAAAAACCCTTGAATGTGTGATATTTTTCTAGTTACGTTGAAGATTCAAATGTTTTACTCTTTAAGGAGAAACCTAGAAGTTAGATAAAATATCTTTTAAAATTAAGCATTTAAAATTTAATACCAAAATAATCCTGAGAAATATTGTTATCCTGAAAGAAATAAGCTTCTAAAATAATATAATACAAGAACTTAATTTTGCCTTTCAAATATGATTTATGTCAATATTTTAGTATATCTATTCAAGAACACTATTTAGCCCTGAAACATTTTCTGAAATTTCTTCGATGACTTGCAGTATTACGTAACAAAAAATTATGTTTCTAAGTTTAATATCTTATAAAGGAATTACTTACAGGGACATTAAGTGCATACTGTAGTCCTTGAGGAAGTCTTTCATGTGTTTCCATCTGCTCTTCATCATTTTTCACTGTCTCCTCATGGACCATGAGTTCATCATGTGATATCATATCCTGTTGTCTCATTTCACTTTCTTGTAACACTTCATCTGCAGCAAGGATCTCCTGGTGAGGCATACTTCGATCTTGAAGTACTGAATCCTGTAGCTCTCCAGACACAGTAGACTGGCCAGACACTCCACCCATTACAACCATTGTCCTGGAAGACTGCATTTCGTCTATGCCGCCACATTTAAGAAACAATCCTTCCAGTTTGTCGTCAATGTTCATGCTTAAGTATAACTGCCTAGAAAACCAAGTTTGGCAACAAAACATAGTAAATTAGTTTTATATGACTACTTCATTTTAAATTTTCAAATTAAGAATTTGAACATTCAAATACAAAGATTTTATTGATGTACTTTGGAACTGCCTCCAATTTTAAAATTATAATACCAATATCGGTTTCCAAAGGCTGGTAGAATAAAACACAAATTTTCATTTTCATATAAAGGCATCAAATCCTAACTACTTTATTATTGAAAAATAAGCCTGACATAAAAACAAATTAGGGAAAAGTATTTGTAACATCAGTCAAGGGATCCATATTCTTTAATATATTAATAATATATTGAAATGTGTTAAAAATAGAGATGAATTCAGTAAGGAATAAACTGACAGAACATCATCAAGCAAATCATTTTTAAAAATTTAGAAATAGTCATTAAGCATATAAAAAAGAGTCTCAGCAGTAATCCAAGAAATTACCATTAAACAGCACTATCATATTTCATCTACCAAACTGATAATGACTCTTAAAAAATACATCCAATGTTGAAGTATTAAAAAAAGACACTCATCTACTGATAATAAAAGTATGTATTAGATCAACTATTTTCAAAAGCCATTTGGTATCAAATGCTATGAAACGTATCAAAAGCTATAAAAATGTACATATTCTTTGAACAAGGAATTCTACATTTTGGAATTTATCTTGATGAAATAAAAAATGTAAACAAAGGTAGACACAGAAAATCACTACAGTAGTCAATACCATAACGAAAATGTTAAGTATATTTCAGTTTAGTCACTTCTTTCCCAAATTAATCACCTAAGTAATGACCAACTTTGATCATAGTTTTCAGCAGTCAAATACCTAAGTTAAATTCCAACACACTACTGAAATCAAAATACTCTTTCCTTTACTAAGGTTATCATTAACAGAGAAAACTTTACTGAAATGAACAGCTCAAAAAAACCTTATAAACAGCAAAATACACAAATGTGTAATTCATAACTTGCTAATCTTTCTTCCCTGGTACCAGGTATTATCAACCTAGAATATATACAGTATATCTGTACAAAACATCTGATTTCACTTTTCAAAATCTTTAGGTAGTAAAGTTAAAATCTAAAGGTCAAAGATTGCTGGGTATGGTAGCTCACGCCTGTAATTCCAACACTCTAGGAGGCCGAGGCGGGCGTATCGCTTGAGCCCAGGGGTTTGAGACCAGCTAGGGCAACAAGGCAAAACCCCATCTCTACAAAATAAAAATACAATAATGAGCTGGGCATGGTGGCACGCACCTGTGGTCCCAGCTACTTGGGAGGCTGAGGCAGGAGGATGGCTTGAGCCCAGGATGTTGGGGCTGCAGTGAGCTGTGACTGTACTACTGCACTCCACCTAGGTGACAGAATAAGACCCTGTCTCAAAAATAAACAAATAAAAATAAAGGTCAAAGATGTTACATACATCACCAAATAGCTGCTCTCTTCAAAAATTTCATTTATCACATTTCTTAGAAAACAAACTAAAACTAAATGAAACAAGTCTCTTAATGCTAAAATTTCATTATTCTGTCCATTTATTTGGAAATCCTTAAGAATCAACTGGTGAAAAGTATTTGTAACATCAGTCAAAAACTCCATATCCTTAATATATTAAAATACCTTAAAAATTAGAAGAGATCAATAAACTGACAGGAACACTATCAGACAAATCACTAAAGAAAACTTAGAAACAACCATTAAATATATAAAATAACTATATTTTTATGTTTTAAATATATAAAACATTGGCCGGGTGCAGTGGCTCACGTCTGTCATCCCAACACTTTGGGAGGCCGAGGCGGGCAGATCAGCAGGTCAGGAGATCGAGACCATCCTGGCCAACATGGTGAAACCCTGTCTCTACTAAAAATACAAAAAAATTAGCTGGGCATGATGGTGCATGCCTGTAGTCCCAGCTACTCAGGAGGCTGAGGCAGGACAATCATTTGAACCCAGGAGGGGAAGGGTGCAGTGAGCCGAGATCGAGCCACTGCACTCCAACCTGGTGACAGAGCAGGACTCCATCTCAAAAAAAAAAAAAAAAATGGAGGGAGTAAATATATACATAAGTATATACATTTATGGGGTACATGAGATATTTTGATACAAGCACGCAACGTGAAATAAGCAAATCATGGAGAATGGGGTATCCATCCCCTCAATAATTTACCCTTTGAGCTACAAACAACCCAATTACACTCTTTATTTTTAAATGCACAATCAAGTTGTTATTGACTATAGTCATCCTATTGTGCTATCAAATAGTAGGTCTTATTCATTTTTTCTATTTTTTTGTGTGTGCCCATTAACTATCCCCACCTTCCCCTTCTCAGCCTCTAGTAACTATCCCCTTTTACTCTCTATATCCATGAGTTCAACTGTTTTGATTTTTAGATCCCACAAATAAATGAGAACATGCATTTGTCTTTCTGTGCCTGGCTTATTTCATTTAACATAATGATCTCCAGTTTCACCCGTGTTGTTGCAAATGACTGGATCTCATTCTTTCTTTATGGCTGAATACTACTCCATTGTGCATATGTACATTTTCTTTATCCACTCATCTGTTCACAGACACTTAGGTGGCTTCCAAGTCTTAGCTATTGTAAACAGTGCTGCAACAAATACAGGAGTGCAACTATCTTTTAATATACTGATTTCCTTTTTAGGGGAAATATACCCAGCAGTGCGATTGCTAGATTGTATGCTAGCTCAATTTTTAGTTTTTTGAGGAACCACCAAACTTTTCTCCACAGTGGTTGTACTAATTTACATTCCCACCAACAGCATAGAAGGGTTCCCTTTTCTCCACATCCTCACCAGCATTGGTAATTGCCTGTCTTTTGGATATAAGCCATTTTAACTGGAGTGAGATGACATCTCATTGCAGTTTTGATCTCCATTTTTCTGATGATCAACAATGTTGAGCACCTTTTCATATGCCTGTCTGCCATTTATATCTCTTCTTTTGAGAAATGTCTATTGAAATCTTTTGCCCATTTTTTGATTGAATTACTAGATTTTTTTTCCTATAGAGTTGTTTGAGCTCCGTATATATTCTGGTTATTAATCCCTTGTCAGATGGGTAGTTTGCAAATATTTTCCCCCATTCTGTGGGTTGTCTCTTCACTTTATTGACTGTATCCTTTCCTGTGCAGAAGATTTTTAGCTCGATGTGATTTTTTTAAATTAATCTTATGCCTAGCATCAAGCCAAAACAATAAATATTGAGGAAGTAGTAGTACTCTGGGGACAGATAATATTTTGGAAAAAAGGCATAAAGTACTAGAGTGAGAGACTTGGAACAGGAAGAGAGCACACCTTGATACAGAAGTAGTAAAGTGAAGACAAAGTGGAAATACTCCAAATGAAAAACAAATGACCTCTTCAAAAATATTCCTGAAAACCAACCACATGCAAAGAAAAAGAAATCTCACTTCCTTTTTACTAAGTTCCTTATTCCTATGGCCCCAAATTAAGGCATATATTTGGAGTTAAACTGTCTGGCCTAGAAACTGTTTTTGAAATACCCTGAAATTTCCCCAAAATACCAGCAAGTACTAAGATACCAAAACAGACTCCAATATCAATGGACACAAGGTTTTAAATAAGACAAAGTTTTAAAATGAGCTTTGGAAATATCTATCAAAATGAAAACTGTATGTACTCTTGATCCAGCAATCTCACTGCTAGGGATATACAGTATACAACCTTATGGGTTTATTCATAGACATTCACCAAAGAAGTAAGTATAAGGATGTTTGCTACAACCCTTCAATGGGAAAAGACTGGAAACAAATTTAAGCATCCATAGACAGGTGACTTGTTAAATTAATTATGACTCAGCCATACAATGGAACACATGCAGCCATTAAAAGGAATGACGTTAGCATTATGTGCTGATTCTCCAAGATACATTAAGTGAAAAAAAATCAAGGAGAACTATGTAGATAGTAAGATCTTTTATATATATATATATATATAGAGAGAGAGAGAGAGAAATACATATACACACACACATATATATATATATATTTTTTTTTTTTTCTGGTAAGAAACTTACCTGGAATTTGGAAAATGAAATAAGAAAGGATCTTCATGAAGAAGACTAATTTTGACTTTTTATTATTCCTTTTTCATGTACCAACATCTTTTCTTTCTTTAATGTTACGGCAAGCTAACAGGGTATGAGTAACAGAATTGACTCTAGGTCTTGTTTTTCTTCTTTATTTTAAAACAAAGACTTAGTGTTATTTTAAAATATGTTTCAAAGACAAAGTGAGTCATACCTCTATCATATACCTCAACCTGTCTCTGGCCAGGAAATTTTACCAGGCCCATGGAAAAAGGGAATAGGATAAAGCTACACTTAATAATGAAAGATAAAAGTACAAAAAAAAATACATTTTTATTGTCCTTGCACCTCCCTTCTATGCCATTATGGTTTTAACCTTTCCCACTTAAACTCTTAAGTGGTCTCAGTCAAAGCTCTCATGTGCCTCACTGCATATTCAAAAATCCAAATACAACAAAAGGTCCCATGCTCAAAAGCTAACACATGCCATATCCCTCCTCTAATTTCATTATTTTTAGGGAGGATCAGCCAAGTGTAAAGAAAGAAAACTGAGGTAATCAAGCCACACTAATATGTAAATAATTAACTGTCTCTTCCTGTTAACTCCTCAAAAAGCCAACTGCTTTCTAATCCAAATGTGTGTATAATTAATGGAAAGTCAGGGGCTAGGGATACTACACAGAAGAGAGGAGGAAAGAAAGAATGCTTCCTTTAAATCTTATTACTCACATGGAAGACTGATTTGGAAGGGAAAAAAAAACTAAACAATTAATTTCAGCTTCAAGGAACCTCTATCCAACTGGAAAGAAAAGAAAATACGTGGAGTAATAAGCCACTCTGAGCTCCCTGTGAAGACCCTTTATCTTGTAGAGACCTTAGGCAGCTGACACCACAGAGTACAAAATGGCAGCGCTGTTAAGAACCAAGACAGACTGGAAAATGATGTCCAAGGGCTAATTCAGCTAAGAGTGAGAGGCAATCCTTCCTCTGCACTGCAAGTTACCCAGAGCAGAGAATGATGAAAACTACAACGGAGCAGGAAAGAGAAAGGAAGGAGACCAACTCAGGCCAATTTCTCCTAAATCTCCCTTTCGCAGATTACTTCAAATTCTGCATTCTTCCCCCGCTTCCATGATTTATTCTTCCCTCATCACCATCCCTCTGCGAGAGAAACTGTCTACAGGGGTATCTAGGGGGCCACAACACAACTTCCAGTTCCATTAAATTTCCCCTCCCTGCTCCCACTCCCAACCCCCCCACACACCTAACATCCTTCCTATTGACACGTGTTTAGTTCAGCTGTGTAAAAGCCTAACTGCAGTGGCTTAGGTAACCCTCTAGTCATTTAAGCCTAGTGGCAGAGGGCTACTTAAAAAGAACGTAAATTATCTGCCATTACCTTTCTCCTGTCTACCAGAAGAAATAGCTGACTCTTCTTGTGGTCACCTTCTAATTTAATGTTTCTAATCAATTATGTGTAAGTAATTAAAAACTAAGCTTTATAGATTTATATTAAGTTGAAACAGAGTAAACAGTTTTCGGTCGGGGCTTTTAATAAGGAATTAAATACATAGGCTTTTAATACAAATGTTTTTGACAATTATGTCCAAAACTCGGGGAACTGTCTGGGCTCATCTTCAGAGGACAAAGTTAACAGAAGCATTACAAATGGACAAGTTGGGCACTACTACTCATTTTTAATCAAATATACAAGGCTCTTAAAAATGCTTGCTTGTTCTACAAGGGTCAATTAAAAACTGGGAAAAAAATGCTTGCTGAGGTTTTTTGTAATGGGAGTTTTATACAATTAATGAGGTCTTTCCAAATTAATATGTTTATGTCTGTATTCTAAAATTCAGAAATTATGAAAACCTGGAGAGGAAAGACAACTAATGTGTGCTGAGATGTAAGACACTGTGCTGGGCACCTTTAAATATATTACCTTACTTAATATTTACAATAACCCTCAAGACAGTAACAGCATATCCCCATTTAACAGACAAATTGGGGCTTACCCAAGGATACATAGCTCAGAAGTAAACTGGGATTTCAAACCAGACTTACCTGACTCAATGCACTTTTTACCTTATCACACTATTTCCTGACTTTAAAAGGCCCTGGACACATTAGGAAGTAGTTGAACTCTCATTGTCCTCTCACCACCTGCTCTTAAGGCCTTCTGTCATCATTGCTTGGCTTGGCAAAGCAATCAAACTGTCCTTAGCTGACTACTCCACCTCATGGCTACTATGGGAGAACTTTCCGACACAGAATCCCCTTTTCTCCTGTGGGAGGATTCAACACTTTCCACGTTTTCTATTTTCCAATTTTCTATCTGTTACTCATATCTCAGTGAATTTCTCCTCAGCCATTCTTTCTTTTTCATGTGTTTAAATGTATCTTCTTAAGCTACCTTCCTCCCTCTGTTTTCTCAAAGCCTTACCAGGAAAATCTCTCTACCTTCCCATTCCAATTGAAAATTTAAAAATAATCCTAAATATGGCTAATAAATGTAAAACCAGTCAGTCCTAATGATACACCTGTATCAAAAAAAGAGGGCTGTACATTTTAAAATGAAAACAGATTTGAAGGCTTGTGCTATATGCTCTAAAATTTTTTAAAGCACCAAGTTCCCTTTCTGAATGTATATGAACATCCATGTGTCACTTATTACCTTTAATTAATCTGCATTTGAGCATGAAAGAAATAAATATTTCTCACTTAGAGATCCTACGTTTCTGTTTCATTTATTGAGTTTGGTAGTAATATTATTTTCCATAAACTTTTTTGAATAATATGGAACTTCAACTATGAGTCAAAGCAGGTTATAATAGGCAAGCTTCTGAACCTAATCATCATCGTCTTTTGTATAAAAAGAGTAATTCCCAACTTAAAATATTCTCACAAATTCAGTAATACCTCTTCCCCTGACTTTGTAACAGAACCCATTCAATCTAAAATGAAACTTCACTTGTAAGCCAAGAGAAGCACTCAAAGGAACTTGTTCTGAAAACAGGTAAAAGAAAAAAGCTAGATTTCACAAATTACTTCTGATCCAAAGCACTCTGTTATTTGGAGGATGCCAGTTACATTAACTTGGATATTAACATTTCTAACCTATGTTTCTAACCGTGAGAAATTATACCTTAAAAATATCAGCATTAGAAATACAAATATCAACCGGCCTCCAGATCATTTGGTGAGATGAAACCCATGATTAATACCAGAACCTTTAACAAATTTGCTATTTGTTATTCTGAAGAAGTTTTGTATTTGCTTTCATCCTTGAAAAGTATAGTTTTGATCTAAGCAGAAACTACTTCATCTCTTATTAATAAAACAAAATCTATTTCTTGTCTAAGTACATTCAAAGACCTCTTCAGATATACCTCTGTATAACTACCATTTTGTATCTATAAAACATATCTTCTAAACCATGTTAATTTTTAAAGTACTACTATTTCAAAATATCCTAATAGGAACATCATTTATAATAATGGTAACTGGACAAAATGGTCTCTGATCAGTGCTAACAAGAAAGGATGTTTAAACAAATATCTATTTCAATAGCTGCTAACACAAGTATTAATCAGAAAACTTACACGTTAACAATAATCATTTTATATGACTTTAAAAACCTAAAAGCTTTAAAAAAAACTCTATTTTTTCACCACAGAAAAATAATTTATAAATATTTGAATAAGTCAAAGTTAACAGGCATTTCTATACCACACTGAAGCCCCTCTCAAATAAAACAGAATCTAGGCATATTCTGCATTCCAAATACTTATCATCTGTTTTGTAAAACAATGTAACATCAAGAAGATAGTAGTATTTAGAAATACTAAAACATCAAATTTATGGAAATCCAAACAGTTTAAGAAACAGCTATAATTTATCTTAACAAGGAGAGGGGGAGGGAAAAGGTAAAAAAAAAGTTCACGCAAAGCAGAATCTGACATTCTGTTGGATCTAGTCATTGCATCCATTACATTTTATGCAAATATCAATAATTCAAACATTAATATTCAAACTATAGTTTCTGTAATCTTACATAATAAATATTTTAAAAAAACTTCTTAAAACAAAATTTCCCTGTATACTATGAACAAATGTTAAACACCTAATTTTTTTTTTTAATTACATGAGATGGGACTGTGCACATACCACTATGCCTAGATTGCTAATGGTTATTTTTAATACATACTATACAGTAACCAAGACTCATTCCAGAACAACAACAAAAAAGTTAACTGTTTAAATAATCAACGGCTTTTTTTTTTTTTTTTTTTTTTGAGAGAGAGTCTCGCTCTCACCCAGGCTGGAGTGCAGTGGTGCCATCTCAGCTCACTGCAAGCTATGCCTCCCAGGTTCCCGCCATTCTCCTGCCTCAGCCTCCCGAGTAGCCGGGACTACAGGGGCCCACCACCTCGCACGGCTAATTTTTTTTGTATGTAGAGACAGGGTTTCACCGTGTGAGCCAGGATGGTCTCGATGTCCTGACTTCGTGATCCACCAGCCTCAGCCTGCCAGCCTGCTGGGATTACAGGCCTGAGGCCATTTTTTTTTTTTTAATGAAAATAAATCTGACTCAAACCTTAATGTGACAGATAGCTGGCTATCTCCCCAGAATCTGTTCTCTCCTTCTTATGCAGTAATAAAAATTAAGTGCAACATATGGCTGCCTAGGTCAGAGTCACTCACTTCCCAGCCTCCTTTGCAACTGGTTGTGACGTGACAAAGAGCCAGAGGGATCTGAGTGAAAGTGATATACACAAACTCCTCTTAAAGGTAAAGAGAATGCCCTTCTCTTTTTCTTCTTATTAGCAGACACAATGGTAACCATCCTCGCCCACAATACAGAAACTGCATAGAAGAAGAGCAGAGCAAGACAAAGGAGCCCTGGGACACAGTGATTTTGCAGCCTCCATTTAATCTCAAGATAGTTTACACAGACTTTTCAAGTAAATATAAATATATTTCTACCTTTATAAGCCTCTGTCACAGTAGCCAAGTCTATATACTAATATATCAAACTTAAGTGATTACTGAATTATCTATAAGACTGCTTCCTTATATTAGTGCAGGCATACATACAACATGTATAGATGTATAAAAACTGATATGTTTTCTCACATTTTAAAAATTATATAGCAAACATCATTAAATTTGACTAACATGTCTAACTTTCCTCGGTATGAAAACAGTTTCTCTGAAAATTCTGGGAAACTTAATGAGTGTATATGTGTTCAGGATAGGGGGTAAAAAATGCTATACCCTGTTGAGAAAAAGTGTTAAACCAAGAAAATAACTCTCAATTAAATTTCACTTAAGACTACACATTTTTGTTGTGTTAGAGTCTAAAATGACATCATTATTCATCATTTAAATTTCTTTTCTCAGGAAAAAAACTAGTTTCTTCCAAATATAAATACCAAAACTTTAAGAAACTATTATATAAATTCAGTATAAAATTCTAGCAGCTGAACACAATGACTTCATATTTGAAAAAACTTATTTATTCAAGATTATGAAAAATAAGTATTAAAATTACCCGAGACTAAGGTAAAAACGAAGACTTCAAGGAAAGGAATGCTGTAGAGTTGAAAAAGAAATCATGGTTGAGTTTCTACCTTTCATAGGCTTCAGAAATCCTCAATACCACCTTAATCACTTATGCCATCCGATTCCTACAATAAAACACACACACAACAAACATTATTTATGGTAGGAAAAGATACTATACAAATATAATATGTGCAAATTGGTATGAATACTGAAGTGAAAATTCTTTCTAAATACAGTAAGTTATGACTGAATGACCAATGTACTGACTTGTTTTTATGTTTGAAATTGGGAAAATACAATAGTGGTAAGTAGACAGTAAATGAGAAATAAACTTG
The DNA here is from genome assembly GCF_000001405.40 of Homo sapiens. Classification (NCBI taxonomy): domain Eukaryota; kingdom Metazoa; phylum Chordata; class Mammalia; order Primates; family Hominidae; genus Homo; species Homo sapiens. Next base: position 125,323,658 of record NC_000003.12, read on the forward strand.
GCCTTATAAAGAACAATTGCCGGCCAGTCGCAGTTGCTCACGCCTGTAATCCCAGCACTTTGGGAGGCCGAGGCAGGCGGATCACGAGGTCAGGAGATTGAGACCATCCTGGCTAACATGATGAAACCCCGTCTCTACTAAAAATACAAAAAATTAGCCAGGCGTGGCAGCCGGCGCCTGTAATCCCAGCTACTCGGAGGCTGAGGCAGGAGAATGGCGTGAACCCAGGAGGCAGAGCTTGCAGTGAGCCAAGATTGCGCCACTGCACTCCAGCCTGGGCAACAGAGCGAGACTCTGTCTCAAAAAAAAAAAAAAGGAAAAAAGAACAATTGCCTAGATGTGGAGTCTACAGCCTCAAAGATACAGGATATTCAAGGAAATTCAGATAATTACAAACCTAAAAGGTTAGAAAAAACAAAACTTAAGAAACTACTTACAGGGTGCAGTGCACCAGCATGGCACATGTATACATATGTAACTAACCTGCACATTGTGCACATGTACCCTAAAACTTAAAGTATAATAATAAAAAAAATAAAAAGAAACTACTTACAAACAGTAATCATACCTGCTTTGTTAAAGTCTATGAAGTGAAGAGAGAAGAAACACAATGGCAGGCCTTACAAACAAACAGAACTAACGCATGCCAAAACTTAAAAGAAACTATTATATAAATTCAACATAAAATTCTAGTGGCCAAAAACAATAGAAACGATTATGGTTATAAAATCAGCAAGATTCCCAGCAAGATTACCAGTGACAGAGAAAAGCTGACAAAAAAGATAGATAAAATCATATGGAAAATTTTTAGCACACTCAAAACAAAAACAGAGTACAGGCTATACACAGGAAGAAAACTTCCTGACAGTAAGTATTCTGAGCATAGTTAACAAACTAAAGATTTTATGGAATTTCCTACCCTGGAGGTTCTTAAAATATTAGATTCCTATCTATCAAGAATAGTTCACATACACTCCTTCACAAGAAGTGTGGAGACCAGATGATACATGAAAGATCCTATGATTTTACATTAGCTTATGATGGTACAAAGGCAAAAAGAATAAATAGTCTTTCCCACCTACATCCATATCACTAATGATTTCCTCTTTGAACTTCAGAAAGTATAATATTAATTCATTTTTTAAAAAACATTTCAACAGTTTATATATTTTTTTAAGAGCTCAAATTCTTGTAGAACTATTCACCTCTCAGTACTCCTGCATTTCAGAATTTTCCTGGATATTCATGTATATCTCTTTTGCCAGATACACTTTTGTGCAAAGTAAAATTTATTTTTCTCAGTAGGATTGTATCATATATAAACTATAGTGAAATGACAACAGTAACAATAAGAGGGGAGGGGCTCATCACAATCCAGAGTTGTTACAATATATTATGTAAAATATCTATTATACATATGTTAAATATGTTAAAAGGAACTCATGTTTTAAAGTTTTTTAATTATGAAAAACTGCAATCAACAAATAAGAGATCTTCAACAAAGATGCAGAAATTATGTAAAAGAACCAAATGGAAATCCTGAAGTTTAAGAATACAGTAACAGAAATAAAAAATTCATCAGAAGGGCTCAACAGATTTATGGCAAAAGAAAATCAGTGACCTTTAAGATACATCAATAGAAACCATCCACTCTGAAAAACAGAGTAGAAAAAGATGGAAGTAAAATGAACAGAGCCTCAAAGACGTATGGAACAACATTCAGCTTACCAACATTTTGAGTACCAGGAAAGAAGAGAAAGAGCAGAAAAAAAAAATTAATAAAATATTGGCCAAAAACTTGCCAAACTTACTTTTACTTTTTTTTTGAGACAGAGTCTCACTCAGTTGCCCAGGCTGGAGTGCGATAGTACAATCTTGGCTCAGTGCAACCTCTGCCTCCCCGGTTCAAGCGATTCTCCTGCCTCAGCCTCCCGAGTAGCTGGGATTACAGGAACCCTCCATCATGCCTGGCTAATTTTTGTATTTTTGTAGAGACAGGGTTTCACCATGTTAGCCAAGCTGGTCTCGAACTCCTGACCTCAGGTGATCTGACCATCTTGGCCTCCCAAATCCCCACCTGTGCTGGGATTATAGGTATGAGCCACCACACCTGGCCCCAAATTTAATTTTTCTAAGGAAAATAAATCTACAGATCTAAGAAGCACAATGAATTTCAAGTAGGAAAATATAAAGCAACCTACACCTGGACACAACATAGTCAAACTTGTTGAAAGCAAACCCAAGGAGAAAAATCTTGAAAGCAGGAAGAGAATAATGATTCAGCATATGCAGAGATTAGTGGCTAACTTCCAGTTAGAAACAATAGAGGCAAGAAAGACAGGGAAATCACATATTCAAAAAGCTGAAAGATACAGCTGTCAACCAAGAAGACAGCAAAACTATCCTTCAAAAATGAAAAAATATTCCCAGATAACCAAATATTGAGAAAATTTTTTTTGCTAGTAGACCTGCCTTAAACAAACACTAAAGGAAGCCCATTAAGCTGAAAGGAAAACACATCAGACTTAAATCCACAGAAAGAATTGAAGAGCATCAGAAATGGCAAATATGTGGATTAATTCAAAAAACACTCCATAAACATATTTTTCTCATTTCTTCCTCCCTTTAAAAGACCTAAGAATGTATAAAGCAATGATCACGACACTGTACTACTGGGTTTATAATATATACAGATGTATATTACAATAGCAGTACAATAAAGAAGAGAAAATGGACCTACATTGGAAGAAAGTTTATCTTACTGATAATAAGCAGCCTGTTAAAATGCATAATCCTGACAGCAACCACAAAGAAAATATCTTTAAAAATATAGTTAAAAAAATCAATGGAGTAATTAAAATGGCACACTAAAAAGTATTTAACACAAAAGGCAATAGAGGAAACAAAGGAACAAAAACATAGGTGATATCTACCTGTATCTATGCAAAGATACATATATATATAAAGGATCATATCATATATAAACCATAGTGAAATGACACTATATATATGAGTATATATATATATACTTGCTTTATATATGTATATATATCTTTTTATATATGTATATAAATATACATATTTATATGTATATATACATATAAAGATATATATATCTTTATATACATACATCAAGATATCTTTTTATATATGTAAAGATATATATCTTTTTATATATGTATACAGATATATATGTATATAAAGATATATATATATATAGTGTGTGTGTGTAGCAGATACCAAAATGGCAAATGTAAATCCAACCATATCCCTAATTAAATATGAATGGTCTAAATAGTCCAGTGGAAAGGCAGCGACTGTCGGAAAGGATAAAAACACAAATTCCAACTATATGCTGTCAACAAGACATATCCTACATTCAAAACTGAAAGTAAAAGGATGGGAAAAAAAGGATATACTATAGAAGCAGTAACTGTAAGAGACAGAATGGCTATATTAACATCAGACAAAACAGACTTTAAGACTATAGAGACAAAGAAAGATATTTCGTAATAATAAACAGTCAAAACATCAGGAAGATATAATAACCGTGTATGCACCTAAAAAGAGTCCCAAAATAATGAAGCAGTAACTAACATTATTGAAAGGAAAAATTAAAAATTCAACAATTATATTTGGAGATCTCAATGTCCCACTCTAAATAAGTGACAGAATAATTAGACAGAAAATTAGCAAAGACAGAGAAGACCTGAACCACACTATCAACCAACTATACCTAAGTGGCATATATAGAAAACACTACCAAACAATACTAGAATACATACAGTTTTAAAACATTCTCTAGGACAGGCCACACGCGGGGCCATAAAATAAGTCTCACTAAACTTAAATGGATTGAAGTCATAAAAATATGTTGTCTGAGCCGCACAACGTGGCCCATGCCTGTAACCCCAGCACTTCGGGAGCCTGAGGTGGATGGATTGCTTAAGCCCTGGAGTTCAAGACCAGCCTGGGCAACACAGCAAGACCCTGTCTTACAAACAAATACATTTATATGTTCTCTAACCATACCAGAATTGAATTTGATATCAACTAAAAAACTGGGAAATCCACAAACATTTGGAAATTAAACTTCAAACTTCTAAATAACAAAGACAAAATGTAAAGGGAAATTAGAAAATATTTTTAACTAATGAAAATGAAAACAAATATCAAAATTTACAGGATGCAGCAAACGCAATACTTAAAATATACAGCTTTAAATATATATTTGAAGAAGAGTCTCATATGTATCCTCCTATCAAAAAATGTAACTGATTCAAATACTCATTCTTCCATACAGTTTCAAATTTTTTTTTAAGTAATATGCTCTCAGGCATTTTATCTTTGTAGTTGTCATTATGAATGTATACCTATTCTTCCATCATGAGTCCCAATACCTATTATTTATATTTTAAAAGATAATTATTTATGTATATTTCTTTTTCTTCCTAAAGACACCTGGCCAAACTAATTTAAGAAAAAAAAGAAAAAGAAGCAAAAGTCAAAGTATAAGTTAGAGACTCATGTCATTCAGAGATGCTACAACCTGGAGCGAAAAGTGAGCCCTATAATCAATGATAAAGACCTTTAAATCTAACACAGAACTGTTCTTCACTGCCCACCTCAGCCATGGAAGATGAGATTACTATATTCAACAATAAAAAATGAAAACTTCTATTGGGCAAAATAATAAAATCAAAAGATGAGCAAAAGTAATTTGTCTAATAAATGACAAGAGGCTCACAAAGAAATGGTAAATATTTGAAGTGATGAAAATACTCTAATTAGCCAGATTTGATCATTACACAATGTAAGCATGTATCAAAATATATAAAGTGTTTATTTTGAATATACAGTAATTTTAATAGTGTGTAAAATTTAAATATACACTATGTATGTTACCATAAATATACACTATGTATGTGTCAAGCAAAAATAAAAAACATTATACCCTCATAAGTATATACAACTGTCAATTGGAAAACTTAAAAAAAAAATGACAAGAGGCTCCTTTCCTTAATATACAAGTATATAAAGAGCTCCATAAAAGGGCAAAGCACATGACCAAATTGGTAACTGAAAACACACATTATGGCCAATAATAATGGAGAAAATCCTCAAACTCACTCATAAGAAAAGAAAAGCTAATCAACAAAAAACTGACAAATATTAAAAAGTTTGACACTAGCTAGTGTTGTCAAAGAGATAGAGAGATCCCCTCTCTCATAGACTACTGATATTTGGCCTTCTTTTTAGAGTTAGGCAATTTATCCACCAAATTGTTAAATGTACATAATCTTTGGTCCAATAATTTTTCCCTTCGGAATTTATACTACTGATATATATATATATATATATATCTGTACATGTATAGAAATTGTCTGGAAGGATATACAATGATTATACTGAATGGGGAAGGGTTGGAAAGCCTTTCTTCGATGTTATAACATTCTCTATTGCCTAAGTGTATACACCTATCATAATAAACATGAGTAAAGAAGTGAAAAATGTTGAACATGACAATTATCAGAAGATATGGAAAAACACATATATATCTGTAGTATAAATATATGTATAGATATATATATCTGTAGTATATACATATGAATGTATATTTATATGTATATGTATATATGTATATTCATACTACAGATATATATATAATTTTTTATATATATATAAAATTTTACATATATAAAATTTTTTTTTTTTTTTTTTAAAGACAGAGTCTCGCTCTGTCGCCCAGGCTGGAGTGCAGTGGTGGCATCTTGGCTCAACGCAACCTCCGCCTCCTGGGTTTAAGCGATTCTTCTGCCTCAGCCTCCCGAGTAGCTGGGGTAACAGGCACCCACCTGTCTGGCTAATTTTTGTATTTTTAGTATAGCTGGGGTTTCACCATGTTGGCCAAGCTAGTCTCGAACTCCTGACCTCAAGTGATCCACCTGCCTTGGCCTCCCAAAGTGCTGGGATTACAGGCATGAGCGATCGCGCCTAGCCAGATATATTTTTAAATATGTGCAAAGGTGTACCCAAGAATATTCACTACATCATCATTTATAATAGCAAAAAAAAAAGCCTAAATATCCATAAGTAGATGACTAATTAGACAAATTATGATATGTCCAAATATCAGAATACTATGCAGCATAAAGTGAAAAGGAATGATTTGCAAAAATGTGGAAGTTTATTTTTTAATATTACTGAATAATATGGTGTGATCTCATTTGTGTAAAAAAATGTGTAAATATAAGCACACATATAAATACTTGTATATGTATAGAAATTGTCTGGAAGGATATACAATGATTATACTGAATGGGGAAGGGTTGGAAAGCCTTTTTTCGATGTTATAACATTCTCTATTGCCTAAGTGTATACACCTATTATAATAAACGTGGGTAAAGAAGTGAAAAATGTTGAACATGACAATTATCAGAAGATATGGTAAAAACAGGAAAATCCTAAAATATGGCTTCTGAAACTCCAAATAATTTCAATCCACAAGGTGAAAAAGAATTCTCAGGCTGAGCGCAGTGGCTCAGGTCTATAATCCCAGCACTTTGGGAGGCCAAGGCGGATGGATTGCTTGAGCTCAGGAGTTCAAGACCCGCCTGGGCAACATGGCAAAACCCTATCTCAAGAAAAAACACAAAAGTTAGCCAGGTGTGGTGGCATGTGCCTGTGGTCCCAGCTACTTGAGAGGCCTGAGGTGGGTGGATCACTTGAGCCCCGCAGGTAGAGGGTGCAGTGAGCCAAGATCACACCACTGCACTCCAGCCTGGGCAACAGGGCAAAACCCTATCTCAAAAAAAAAAAAAAAAAAAAAAAAATTCTCAAAAAACAAATTTTAAAATGCACAGAGAAATTTTAGAATTTTTATGATCAGGCCGGGTACAGTGGCTCACACCTGTAATCCTAGCACTTTGGGAGGCTGAGGCAAGAGGACTACTTGAGTTCAGGGGTTGAGGACCAGCCTGGGCAACATAGTCGAGACCCTGTCTCTATTAAAAAATTAAAAATTAAAAATACAACAAACAGAAGAATTTTTATGATCATTAATAACTGACATGAGTATGTGCCACTGACATATATGTAAACTCCTTGAAAACTGTTAGATATCTTCTTTCATGTTGTGTGAAAGATAAAAGCATAGGTTTAATATATGCACCAACATAGGCCAACAAGAAAGGAGAGGATCATTTGCCTTCCTAACATAAAGGAAATGAGGCCTAAAAGATATGCAAGTAATCTTAAGAGAAGATAATTGACTTCATCTTATAAAATTAATAATGTTCTTTTCTATGTACATATGTCCATATCTACATATTATTTATAATATTTATAATAGTGATACCATGTTATTTATATGAATATAAAAAGAAAAGGGATTGGCCATAAATGCACACTTATACCCAACAGTTATTGTAAGTATGTGTAGTAACATGGGCATCCATTACAGGTAAAAATTAAAGATTGACTCAAAGAATGCTGAATTACCTCCATTAAATACGTTAGGCAAACGCCCATCCCGCCAGATCACGTGCTTGAATTTCCAAGCTGCTGATTCCTCCCTCTATCCTACAAAAGTACACAAATACAGGTTAACCCCCAAAAGAATCAGGATTAAACATAGTCTTAAAGAAGTCAGGTAAAACTGTTACATTTAAGTGTCCTAAGTCTACCAAAATTCTTTCCATGGTAGATACTGTTAGAGTAAATAAAATTAGTAACAACTAACACTTAGTCTGAGTGCAATGAGCCATCAAATGCTAAATGATATCACAACAATGACTCACATACAAATTGGACTTTTTCAAACTTAACTTCCAGTGAAGGATTAAGATTTCTTTGAAGTCAGGACAATAAACTTGACTATCATCTTAAATATCATAACATAGGAAGGAAAGCACAAATGTGTTTCACTAAAATCATATTTTGATACTCTCCAACACTCATATAGCACTATTTCTTGATAAACTCTTACAGTAACATTTCCCTCAGCTGAAAAAATCTAAATATATTAAGGATGCAGTTTTTGAAAACACAAACAGCATTTTAAAAGTTCAAAGCAAAAGGTATTTAATAATGCTAAAATGGTCCATCGATATTTTTTAAACATCATGCTATAACTAACCTTTTAGCAGAGACTAACACAGAAAATTAACATTCCACATTGGTACTGCATTGATGCCGACCACAGATCACTTTATTCATGTAACTGGGATTTTTCTGAGGTATATTAAATGAAAGTAATGAAGACTGAAAGTTGAATTATCAGAAATAAAGAACAAGCCAAATATAATTTTATTCAGAAACAATAGATAAAGCATTTTATGTAACAGTCCTAATACAAGTTTAGGGATCCATAAATACCTTGCACATCAATAAAAGCCATAAATGTAAAAGCAGAATATTTTCTAGAAATTGATAATCTCTAGAAAATAACCAAGTACATCAATTCAAGGCTGTATTTACATATGCTTTATCAAGGACTACAAACAGTACAGTCTTTCTGATAATTTAGCATTTTCCAGTATTTAGCTAGTCAGTAGCTTTGTTATTGAGGTAGTTACAAACAAAAAAAATCTATTTTAAAATACTTGATTTCTACTAAGCTCCTAATTGCTTGCCTCAATGTTTTGCAGCCAAGCATTCAAAAGCATATACATGTCATTCCTCTCAATTATGCAAAGTTATTTTAAGTACATACTCCTATAGCAATAGTACCAAAAGGATAATAAAAGCTATAAAACTATACTACTGTTAGACACTATTAAAAATGGGTAAAGTAAAGCTAAATTATGTTAAATTAAATTAGGTTTAAAGTTGCTTCTCTAGGTAGCCAATTAAACCTAACTTACTATGTAAACAAACTGCTACCTAATTTAAGAGTATATTTTTGTAACAAGTAGCTGAGTCTCAGCAAATCACAGTAGCCAAGCCTCAACCAATTACAGACTGCCACCTGATAAGACCATGTCCGTATAAGGCAAATGCCAAGCGGTAACCAATCAAGCTATTTCTGCTTGTCACTTGCTTTTTCTGTGTATAAATACTGCCTGCCTATGTTGCTGGGTGGAGCTCTCCAAACCTCTCCTGGTTCAGAGTGCTGCCTGATTCATGAATAGTTCTTTGCACAGATACACTCTGCTAAATTTAATTTGTCTAAAATTCTTCTTTTAACAACTGTTTCTGCATTGCACTGCTTGTTCACTATTCTATTAGAATATTATATATTCTGTACACATATTGCTACATACATTACTATATTCAACTTTTAGAATTGCTAATTACAAGAATAAAATTGAATAGAAAAGGACACTGCAAAGCCTATAGACAGGGAAAAAAATGTCTTCACATTATGCATTTTAACATTGTGAGTCTTTAAAAGTTGATGTGATGTATCTAATCCACAATCAGGATATTATTACACATCTCATCATGAGCTAGTAACATCTATAGACTGGACAAATGTTTTTGAAATCTTAACATTCCGTTGAAAACATTTTCACAAAAAGCATACTCACCTTCTTGCATCACATTTTATTGAAAGCACTAAATTACTGCAGCTACACATCACAGAATATAACTTAGATATGTAAAAAGAAAACAAAAATAAAATAGTGAAGCAAGAAGGAAAAGGAAACGTGCATACACACAAAATAATATAACCTCAAAGTATAAATTTATAAACAGAAATTCTGGAATGTCTTTCCCACACAACCACTCCTCTACCATGTAAACCCACAATTTCCCCCAAGTCACCTGTCACATAGTCTGTCTCTGGAACCCTAATTCATTTAGCATCATCTACTAATTTCATTTCTTCAAGCCTCTATCCCCCTTTCTTCTCTTCCACTCCTCTCAACCAAGAAGGGGGGAAGAGAACCTACTAAGATGGAAACGGAAACCATGCAAATACAAAAAGACAGATAGAAAATTACTTGGACAACCACCCAAGTCAGTTCAGATCTTCCTCTTTCCTTGCCCTACTCCCCCACTTCAGCAGTCAGTGAATATTCCTCCTTAGCAATTCTTTTAACATTTTTCTGGCTAAATAATCTTTGATTATAAACACTTGGGCAGATATAAACAGATTAAGACTAAAAATATACAGATATTCCTTGACTTATGATGAGGTTATGTCCCAATAGGTCACAAGTTTATGCCTATAGCTAAACGCCTATGCCTTCTGCATCATCATAAAGTCAAAATATCCTAAATCAAACCACTGTTAAGTAGGGAACTATTGTATTTTAAGGTAGGAGTTTTATTGTATCTATGCTATCAATCAAGGTAGTATTTGTTTCCTATCAACCAATGACAGCAAATGTTAATAGATACACAATAATATACATAAAGACTTTTCATTTTACATGGTACAAACTTGTATACCTATATAATATTTAAGGAAATTTTCTACTAATACCAATTTGAATAATTATGGCACAGAAATAAAATGCACAAGTATTTTGCAGAAGTCATTAGCTACCACCCTTCCGCTATTTAGTTTTGATAGACTGGCAATGTTCCAATATACTTACTAGCAGGTGGTCCAATTTATTAATTAAGCCAACATTTTTGTCATTAACTCAGTCAACATTTTTTATCACATGATATATTTTTACAACACATTAAGATTCCTAAGACATAATAAAATACCCTGGTCTCTGTCCAAAGGCATTCATAATTTAGCAAGGATGATAAGCACATACAGAGTAAATGTTTGTGATAATAATGTGATATAATTGAAGCATAAGAAATTTATCATAGAAAAATCAAAGCAGGGAGCAATTAACTCTCCCTTTGCTACCTTTTCAAAAGAAAAGGAAGAAGGTGATCTCTTAATGTTGATTCCACATGTAAGAATATATGCAATATGTAAGCAATGAATATATGCTTTGGACTCTGCTCAGTAGTGTTCCTAGGACACTACAGGTATTAAATCACTTAATCAAAACAACAAACCTATGAGATAGTATTGTTATTATTCACATTTTACAGATGACAAAACTAAAAGGTTATATAATTTCCCAAAGAATACAAAAGTAGTAAGAGGCAGACCCGAACTCCTTATAAGGGTCTACAAGGCCTTACATGCACTCCTGTGCTTATCCCCCACCCATCAACGACCACCTCCACCACCACCCACCCTCATCTTTCAGACCTCATTTTCTAGCCTCTCCCCTTGTTCACTCCACTCCAGCAGCAGTGACCTGACCTCCTTATTGTCGCAGAATCTCCAGCATACAGCAGAATCTACTGCACTGGCTGTTCCTCTGTCTGGAACACTCTTCCTTGAGAGATCCTCGTAACTAAATCCTTTAGCTACTACAAGTCTAGCTAAAGTCTTGTTAATGAGGCCTCTTCCAGTCACACCATTTGAAATTGCAACATCCCACCACATACACTCAATCCCCCTTTTATTGTTATACATTTTGCACTGTACTGCCCACCTCCTAACATATTACACAACCAACTTATTCATGTTTTTTTCTGCCCTAACTATAAGCTCCACAAGAGAAGAAATTTTTGTCTGTTTTATCCACTGACATATCCCAGTGCCTAAAACAGTGCCTTACACATAAGAGACTCAGTATTTTTTTAATTATTAGTAAAGCTGGAATTTCCTCCCAGGAAATCAGGCTCTAGAAGCTTAACCACCATACAACACTCTCTTTCTAATTATGGAATCACAGATAACAAAACAAAGGCATGTAGAAAAGTCACCCAAGGTCACATAAACCTAATAAAATGGCGAAACTTGGTCTCAAAACCAGCCTAAATGGGGTTTGGCAACATTACCTTACCTAGAATTTCCAGAAAAAGACTTGACTGTCTTAACAATAAAGAGATTCAACCTATTGATAAGTCCACTATAAACTTTATGAAACACTGTATCAAATGCACCATGGTAATTCTTAGCAACATAAATAGGTTAGTCCAATCTAACTTAATTTCCATTCTGTGTTTAAAAATAATGCTAGTAACAAATTTCAGAAGTACTCCTTCAGAAAAGCTACAAAAACTGCATGCATGTTGCAACAGATAGGAAGAGCTTCTTTCGTATTTTCAAATATTTCACATTTCATGTTTTCAAATATTTCACATTTCATGTAGACAGTTTCTACTGATACAGTATTTTCAAAGTATATCTTTACGTTGTTTGCAGAGTATACTTTTAGCCCACCAAATTATGTTTTAACTGTCATCTTTGCCTAGAAAAGTAAGATTGCTAAAGATGAAGTTTTATGAATTAACGTAGCAAGATCCAGATAAGAGATGTGTTAGAAGAAACTCCCACAAAAATTCTGTCAAGAATATAAATTTCTGAAGCAATAAATAAAACCTTAATGTTACTCCTAAGTATGATCATCCTTTGAAAAGCCATTCATTGATAAAGAACATAGTTCTTGGTTAATTAAGGTAATCTTTCTAGAAAATCATTTTTAAAGTTTCAATGAAACGTGTAATGCTTACACATTAACTGTTTATGCTCCCATGAGCACTACCAAATAAAAAGGCTACCTCTGCCCTTTAAATCAAAAGCCCAAAGCAATGAAAGGATAAATTACAGCACACATGGCATAAGAATCTGAAACTAAAAATGCTTACAGTCCTTTAGCATCTTTTAACTAGAGCACATTTTACACATTATACATTTACACATTAGTCAAGTTATATTTTTAAATTAGTTCTTACTTTTATGATTTAATGAGCCTTTCTGAATGATGTTTTAAAAAGAATAAAAACTTGTTCCAGGCAAGAGATTTCTATGAATTTGGTTTGAATCTCTATAGAGTGACAATGCAAAGAACAGACGTATGTGTTCTTTAAATTTATAGTAACTGCTTTCAAATTTAAATTTAAAGTTATTAAGATTCCCTCTAAGGAGTTATACTTTATATATTTTGAACTAAATGATATCTGAATGGCCTAATAGTATATTTTTTATAACCATATCTATCCCAAGGATAACCAACCAATAAACTCAAACCAACCACCCCAGAAATCACCTTTTTTTTTTTTTTTTTTGAGATGTAGTCTTGCTCTGTCACCAGGCTGGAGTGCGGTGGTACAATCTCAGCTCACCACAACCTCCACCTCCCAGGTTCAAGTGATTCCCCTGCCTCAGCCTCCCACATAGCTGGGACTACAGGCGCGTGCCTCCATGCTCAGCTAATTTTTTGTATTTTAGTAGAGATGGGGTTTCACCATGTTGGCCAGGATGTTCTCGATCTCCTGACCTCATGATCCACCCGCCGTGGCCTCCCAAAGTGCTGGTATTACCAGTGTGAGCCACCGCACCCAGCCAGCAATCACCCTTCTTAAGCCATTTTCCATTTCTACTCTCACAAAAAAAAAAAAAAAAAATCAAGCCAAAATCTTTAAAACTTTGTAATTAGTGTGGTTACTGCACTTAGCTGAGAAAGAAAATCCTACAAAGGAGCACTCAGATATATAGAAGCTGGCTGAGCAAAATGAGTAAAATAAAGCCATCAAGTGAAAATTTTCACCTACCCTTGACCTTTTCAAATCAACTACCCAATACACATTTGTCAAACAAGAAACCAACTGTCCATCTATGTTAGAAAAAGTGATGCTACAAAAGCATTGTTATAAACAATGCTACAAAAATAAGCATTTTATAAACTTTAAACTACTAAAGAGATAGAACTTTTAAATCTAAATCACCTGCTTCCAGAAGAAACATTCCAAAACTAACCTATCACAGTGAGGATGCTGCACTAACAAGCAACTATGTAATCCTTCCCCAGATAATGTAAATGAGTTTTTAAGGTTAGTAAGCCACCAAACTTAAGGAAAAGCTGTTTAATTCTTACATAAGTTTTTACTGAATAAACATTAATTTTGTAAATAATCATGATACACTTTGTACTATGATGATCAAGATCACCCAGGCAAACTTTGAAACAATCTTCTCAAAGATGAAACCACCATATTCTGATAAAGTACTTTAGAGTTTACAAAGTGCTTTCACATGCGACATTTCATTCCACACCCCCTAAACACTCACACACAACTATCTGAGCAAGTATTATTGTTTGTCTCAGTTCTTTAGATGATGAAACAGGTTCAAGAGGTTAAGTAACGAAGATTACACACCATCTTAGTGGCAAGACAAGGACTTCAACTAAGGCCAGGCACAGCAGTTCATGCCTATAATCCCAACACTTTGGGAGGCCAAGGTGAGAGGATCACTTGAGCCCAGGAGTTTGAGACCAGCCTGGAGAACATAGTGAGACCCCAGCTCTACAAAAAAAAAAAATTTTTTTTGTTAGCCAGGCATGGTGGTGCATGCCACCCAGACACTAGGAAGGCTGAGGTGGGAGGATTACTTGAGCCAAGGAGTTTGAGGCTGCAGTGAGCTAGGATTGCACCACTGCACTCCAGCCTGAGCAACAGAGTGAGACCCTATCTCCAAATCAAAAACAAAAGCCATCAACCAGATCCTCCACCTCCTAATAAATGTCTACTCTAACATAACACCACAGGTAAGGTCATTTTCAAATTAAGATATATTTAACATTACTCTTAGCAATATTCTAGGAGTCAGAAAAAAAGTAAACATCTTCAAAGTTCAATGTAACACCAATAGACATAAATTTTGAAATGAAGATGCTATTTACAATGATAGGTACATATGTATATAATCAGAGAAAACTCATCATTTTTATTACATAAAGTTACTGTAATAATGAAGGGAACCCTAGAAAAGAATATAGAAATGCCCACTTAAAAATTAAAGTTTAACACTTCATTTAACTTTGATTTTTAAAGTGTCAATTCTTTGTCATCAAAAACATGTTAAAATACTATTACAAGTAATTAGCCAGGCATGGTGGTACACGCCTGTAATCCCAGCTACTTGGAAGGCTGAGGCATGAGAATCGCTTTAGCCTGGGGGGCAAAGGTCGCAGTGAGCCGACATTGTGCCACTGCACTCCAGACTGAGTGACAGAGTGAGACCCTGTCTCAAAAAAAAAAAAAAAAAAAAAAAACTATCACAAGTCAAAAATAACAAGAATGGAATTACTAGTTTTAATATGAAATATAATTAAATATGGTCATTTAAAAACTTGTAAGTGGGCCACAAAAAGCCATACTCCATTTCCAGTCCATCTTTTGATATTTTTCACCTTATTCAATGCCAGAACCAATCCGATCTACTCTGTCTAGAATACATGCCCAGAATTACACTAGGCACTGAACACAATGTAGAGGTGTGCCTAAACATAAAAGAAATCATACAGTCACTGAGCGAAGGGAATCATTTTTAATCTGATTAGGAAAACTGAGATTTGCCATAAGAATCAATTAGAGAATACTAAGAAGTAGCTGCAAAGGAGCCCAGTGATTCCGTTGTTGTTGTTGTTAGTGATGGAGTCTCACTACATTTCCCCAGGCTGATCTCAAACTCCTGACCCTCAAGTGATCCTCCCACCTCAGCCTCCCAAGTTGCTGAGATTACAGGTGTGAGCCACCATCCCCAGCCAGAAACACTAGCTTCTATTAATGTACGGTGAACATGTTCTTATTTTGGGCCAATTTATTCTCCATTGGAAAACTAGGCAATGTAAAAGCACGACAATTTATCTTACCTTTTCCAATCTATTAATTAGAATAAATCAGTTGCATAATACAAGATTTTCAGTCTTTTTTTGAAAAATGTTTAAGAGTGCTAAAATGCAGTAACGTATTACGGGAATAGTTGAAACATCTTAAGTACAATCTATTAAACACATCTTTGAAGAAAATGCTCAGAATTCAAAAACTCACTTTAATTAACTAAATAACAAAATTCTGTTTATGTGTAGACGCACAGTAAAACAGTATGCATCTATTCCCTAGCAACCTCTTGAGCTGGATATGACTGACCTCACAAAAACCTTCTGAGTGTCAGATAGTGTGGTTTATAAGTGAAGCACACATTTTATATAATGCTTAGAAGTAAACAAGGCTGTACATTTTTAAATAACTAAAATAATATAATTGGATTGTTGGTAATACAAAGGATAAATACTCGAGGAGATGGATGCCCCATAATCATATTATGCCTGTATCAAAATATCTCATGTACCCCATAAACATATACACCTACTATGTACCTACAAAAATTAAAAATTAAAAATAAATTTTAAGTTCACAAAGCACATAATTATATACCATTATTTTCAGACGAGATCGGGTGCGTTCAGGGTGGTATGGCCGTAGACAATATATACCATTATTTTCAATGCTGAAATAACTGCCTGGATTGAGATGATGCAGGGACTTCAACTTCCAGTTCAGATAAAATGGCCTAGATCTGTTCTCCTACTGCCCCTACTCACGAAGCACAACTGTAAACCACTGAAATAATAAGCAAAGGAAAATCCAAAGGTGGTAAAAAGGCAGTAAACCAATTTGGGACCCAAGGAATGGAGAAACAAAAGAGCAGCAGAGTGTTTCATGTCCTCACACCCAACAGAAGAAGACAATCCAGACCTGGCATTTCCCAACCACCAATCTAGCAACAGAAAGCAGCTCAGATAGTCACATTCCTCCGCCAAAACAAATGGCAACAACTCTCTGATGTTGTCCTGAAAACATCAGGAGAAGGAGATCAACTTGAAGCCCAAATGACAATAAAGACCACAGGAAGCACTCTTCTTCCCTATTTGGCCTGAGGCTGTTTTCCACCTAGAGACAGAGAGGCAAGTAGGCAAAATTCAGGGACCCAGCCATAGCAAGTGGCTCAGGTTGGGCCAAGAACCTCTTCACTTGCCCAAAGTTACCAGGACAGGCGAGAAAAGAAGAGACCAGTAGGTGGGTCCCACCATAATCCTCTCCCATCTGTAGACAATCAGAAACCCAGCATGGGGAAACCCCTTCCAGTGGGAGCTCCAGTAGGATCAAACAAACCAAGTAGACTGCAAAGTCTCTAAAAATTAAACTGCCACTAGAACCACAGCCCACTCCTAAAATAAAAATTTAAATAGGGCCCAGAGCCTCCTAAGGTAACAGATAAAATGTCCATGATGGCCGGGCGCGGTGGCTCATGCCTGTAATCCCAGCACTTTGGGAGGCCGAGGCGGGCGGATCACGAGGTCAGGAGATCGAGACCATCCCGGCTAAAACGGTGAAACCCCGTCTCTACTAAAAATACAAAAAAAATTAGCCGGGCGTAGTGGCGGGCGCCTGTAGTCCCAGCTACTTGGGAGGCTGAGGCAGGAGAATGGCGTGAACCCAGGAGGCGGAGCTTGCAGTGAGCCGAGATCCCGCCACTGCACTCCAGCCTGGGCGACAGAGCGAGACTCCGGCTCAAAAAAAAAAAAAAAAAAAAAAAAAATGTCCATGATGTAACAAAAAACACCTAAGAAAATCATACCATAAATGAGAAAAGAAAATCAACCAAAGCCAAAGTAGAGGGTAAATCAGATGTTGGAATTTGACAAGAATTTTTAAGCAAAAGTTTCAACAATATATTAACAAATTCTACTGCAACAAGTGAAAAAAAAAACAGCCATAATAAAAATGTTTCCACAATTATACATTATCCAGAAATAAGTGAAAAAATGGAAAATCTCAGCAAAGAAACAGAAGTTATTAAAAAAAGAAGCATAGTCTTCAGATACCTACTACAGAAAAATTTAAAAAAAAAAAAAAAAGCAAAGCCAGCTGCAGTAGCTCACACCTGTAATTTCAGCACTTTGGGAAGATGAAGCAGGAGGATCACTTCTGCTCAGGAGGGTAAGACCAGCGTGGGCAACACAGTGAGACCCCATCTGTACAAAAAAAATTTACAAATTAACTGGGCATGGTGGCACACACCTGTAGTCCCAGCTACTTGCCAGGCTAAGGTAAGAAGATTGCTTGAGCCTGGGAGGTCAGAGCGGTAGTGAGCTGTGATCACACCACTGCACTACTGCCTAGAAAAAAAAGTAAATAAAATAAATAAGCAAATAAATAAAAACTAAAAAGAAAAAAATTAAGACAACTAAAAAGTACAATAAATTTTTAAGGTGGGCTCAATAAAAACATAGAGATGGGCTAGGCATGGTGGCTCGTGCCTGTAATCCCAGCACTTTGGAAGGCCAAGGCAGGTGGATTACGTGAGCTTAGGAGTTCAAGACCAGCCTGGGCAACATGGCGAAACACCATCTCTACAAAAAATATAAAAATTAGCCAGACATGGTGGCTTTACACCTGTAGTCCCAGCTACTCAGGACGCTAAGGTAGGGGAATGACTTGAGCCTGGGAGGTGGTGGCTGCAGTGAGCCAAGATCGTGCCACTAACTCCAGCCTGGGTGACAGAGCCACACTCTGTTTCGGGGCGGGGGGGGGAATGGAAATCATGGGGAAGAGAATCGTTGAACTTGAGGACAGAAAAGTAGAATTCACCCAATCTGAACAAGAGAAGAAAATAAATTGAAAAAAGTAGTAGCTTTAGGGAACTACAGGGCAATAAAAAAAAAAAATCCAACATTCACACCATCAAAGTTTCATAAAGAAGGAAGAAAGGGAGTGGGGCTCAAACACTACTTGAAGAAATGATAACTGAAACGTACTCAAATTTAGGAACACTAACTTGCAGATCCAAATAGCTAAGCAAATACAAAGAGGATAAGCCTAACGAAATTCACTCTAACATCATAATTAAACATTCAAAAACTAAAGACAAAAAAAAAAGACAAAAAAAAAACCTTGAAAGCAGCCAGAGAGAAACAACACATTACCCATAAGGGAACACCAATTCAAATGACACCAGATTTCTCATCTCAAACCACAGAGGCCAAAAATAAAAGTGGCACAGTATTTTTCAAATATTGGAAAAAATGCAACTGCCAACTGGGAATTCTATATCCAGTGAAACTGCCCTTCAGAAATAATAAGGAAATAAAAGTATATTCTCAAATGAAGAAAAGTTAAAAAAAAAAAAGTCTCTAGCACACCTATCCATAAAAGACTGGCTGAAGAAAATTTGCTGAACATAAAGAAAATGATTTTTTTAAAAAGGAATGTTGAAATATCAAAGAAGAAACAACAGAAAGAACGGAAATATAGGTATAAACAAGACTTTTTCTTGGTTAGTTTTATAAATCATATTACATGATGGAAACAAAAGTTATAACACCATCTGATACTCAAGACAATTATATTTAAAATTGGAGAAGGTGAAAGGTAAAATAAAAGTGAGGTTTCCACACTTCTGTTGAAGTATAAAAGTTGATATTAGTAGACTAAGTCATGTATGCATATAATAACCAAAACAGCCACTACAAAACTGAGATAGACTCAAAACAACATTATAAATAAGTCAAGATGGAATCCTAAATAAAGGTTCTAGTAATCTGCAAGGAGACAGGAAACAAACATTCACGCACTACCAGAAAAATTCTTAATTTATATTAAACCAGAAATGTAACAATTTCTGTAGAAGATTCATCCTGGCAATGCTAACTTCACAGCAGACTAACACTACATGACTCACATTTTAAACACGATGGAAAAGTAGATCCATGCTTTTACGTGTTTTGGTTTAGTATGCAATCTTTTCCTACCATTGACGTGTCAAGGCTCACCTTGGAGTACATTTAGTAAAAATGCAAAGTACACATAGAGATTTACAATTTTAAAGACAAAAAAAAAGGTCCTATTATGTGGTCCCAATGAGAGGTGAAGCCAGCTGGACTTCCTGGGGACTAGGGACTTGGAGAACTTTTCTGTCTTACAAGAGGATTGTAAAATGCACCAACCAGTGCTCTGTAGCTAGCAAGGGGATTGTAAAATGCACCAATCAGCGCTCTGTAAAAACTCACCAATGAGCACTCTGTAGCTAGCAAGAGGATTGTAAAATGCACCAATCAGCGCTCTGTAAAACACACCAATCAGCGCTCTGTAAAACGCACCAATCAGCAGAATCCTAAAAGCAGCCAATTGCAGGGAGGATTGAAAAAAGGGCATTCTGATAGCACAGAAACAGAACATGGGCAGGGACAAATAAGGGAATAAAAGCTAGCCACGCCAGCCAGCAGCAGCAATCCGCTCGGGTCCCCATCCACACTGTGGAAGCTTTGTCCTTTCTTCAAAATAAACCTTGCTACCGCTCACTCTTTGGGTCCGTGCCATCTTTAAGAGCTGTAACACTCACTGAACGCAAAGGTCCATGGCTTCATTCTTGAAGTTAGAGAGACCACGAACCCACCGACAGGAACCAACTCCGGACACACCAACAATAAACTGAAAAGTCTATGACAAATGGGGACTCTGTTGAGCTGTCTATAAATACTTTAGATTTGGTACAATTATACTGAAAGTTGAGTTCATTTGAAATGTTCAAAAAAAATGTTCCTGTTAATCTTCAAATGGTGCTTGTTATAGTTTAACAGTTCTGTTAAATGCACGCATTAAATTACTTGAGTTACCCAAGTGCAGCAGCTGCTCCTAACCCTGTATGGTTAAGGACTTTAACTGGCCATCTTCCTCAAATTCTATTCCTTCCTGACCATTCTCAACAATTCTCTTTGTAGTGATTTTTCTGCCATTAGCCATTTTAGTAGAACCTGATATCAATTTGGAAGTGCCCATCCCACTACCACCAAACGACACGAAAGAGAATGAAGTGAAGCCCCCATGACCTAGTGACCTGAATGAAACAAATCTTGTATCAAAAGAAGAAAATCCACTTCCAAAAGATGGAAATCCACTGAATGTGGAAAAAATGACTCTGTCCCTTGGCCTCCTCAGGGACCCCATTCCAAAAAAAAGTCCTCAAAAGGGTCTTCAAAGAAGTCAAATAAAAATGGGTCCCTTCCACCAAAAAAATTCCCTGAAGACATCATCTGGGTTACAAAATGTGAAGCCAAACTCAAATGGACTGTCAAAATGACTTCCACCTCCTCCTCCACCATTTAATCCTTCTTTGCCACCATTTAATCCTGTCATAGATGTACCATCTTTTAGCATCTTACAGCACCTCACATGCCTCAGCCACTTGTTTTGATTTTCTCTCTGCTTCTTCTTTATTCTCAGGAATCTGGGTGCCACTTCAGTGCCAGTTTCCATTATGCTTTTTTAATATCCTTGGGTGAGGTATGTCTCTGCACACCTAGAACTTCATAGTAATCCATCATGTTTTAGCAGATAGTTGGAAGAGGACTGAGGATGCAGGTGGCAGGCGATGGGACACAGGGGAAGTGGGGCAGTGGCCTGGATGCTCTGGGCTCTGGATCTCCTCTCAGCTAGCCTGAGTAGATTTTTTTTTTAATGGCCCAATTATATGTTGCTTGCAAGAAATTTAAATTCAGCAACATAACAAGTTAAAAGCACAAGAATGGAAAGACATGACAATAAATTTTTTAAAGCAGAGTGGCTACATTAATAACACAATCAACCAACATGGTCTTCTTGACATATGTAGAGAATATTCCACTCAATAACAGCAGAATACACATTTTTCTTAAGTACCCATGGAACATTCACCAAGGCCATAAAACAAACCTCAAAAAACTTAAAAGAACTGAAATGGTAACAGTGTATTTTCTAACCAGTAACTAGAAATCAGTAACAGAAAGACAACAGGAAAATCTCTAAATAGAGCAATAAACAACACACTTTTAAAAAGTCCATGGATGAAAACAGAAGTCTCAAAATTTTTAAATATACATAAAAATAAATGAAAATAAAAACATAATACACATCAAAATACATGGGATGCAGCTAACAACAATCAGACGCACTAAATGCTTACATTAGAAATGAGGAAAGATGTCGAACCAGTAATTGAATTACCAAAAGAAACTAAAAAAGAGCAAAATGAAGCCAAAGCAAGAAGGAAGGAATTATTAAAAGAAGAAATAAAAGAGGAAAATAGAGAAAATCAATTAAGCAAAAAATTTGTAAGCCTCTATCAAAACTAACAACAACAACAACAACAAAAAAAGACAAACAGAAGACACAAAACATCAGGTATGAAACAGAACATCAGTACAGATCCTATAGCAGTTTTAAAAGAATATAAGGGAATATTACAAACAATTTTATGCTCTTAAATTTGACACCAACTTCACAAAACCACATTAGCAAAACACAACCAAGATGAAACAGAGAATATAAATAACCCCATAGCCATTAAATAAAACTGACTTCTTAATTTAAAAGCCCCCCCAACTGCTGCCAAAAAACAAAAAACAAAAAAAAACCTGCAGGCTCAGATGGCTTCACTGGTGAATTCTACCAAACATTTAATGAAGAATTAATACCAACTGTTCACAAACTCTTCCCAAAACTTGGGGAGAATATTCTTCAACTCATTTTATGAGATCAGCATTACTGTTACCAACACAAGACAAAGACATCACAAGAAAAGAAAATGACAAGCCTATAACTCTTACAAATGTAGCTGCAAAAATCCTCAACAAAATACTAACCAAATCTACCAACACATAGAAAGGATTATGCATGACCATGTAGGATTTATCTCAGAAATGCAAGGTTGGCTTAAGATTTGAAAATCAATATAATACACCACATCAATAGAACAAAGTCCAAAAACTTTTATTTTTGGCAGATCATCTTAGATGAAGAAAAACATTTGATGAAATACAACACCATTTACACAATAAAAACACCCAACTAGGAAAGGGAACTTCCTCAACCTGATAAAGGCCATCTATGAAAAATCAAAGCTAATATCATATTCAAAAGTAAAATAAGTGCTTCCCCCTAAGATCAGAAAGAAGACAAGGATGTCTACTCTTGCTACTACTTCTATTCAACACTACAGTAGAGGTTCTAGCAAGGTAAATGATATGATTTGGTTCTGTACCCCACCCAAATTTGATCTCGAATTGTAATCCCCACATATCAAGACAGGGACCTGTAATCCCCACATGTCAAGGGAGGAAGATGATTGGATCACACGAGCAGTTCCCCCATGCTATTCTCATGATAGTGAATGAGTTCTCAAAAGATGTGATGGTTTTATAAGCAACTGGCATTTCCACTACTTGCATTTCTCTCTTCAGCCAACATGTGAAGAAGGTCCTTATCTCCCCTTCATCTTCTGCCATATTTGTAAGTTTCTTCAGGCCTCCCCAGCCAATTAAACCTCTTTATAAATTACCCAGGCTTGGGTATTTCTTTATAGCAGTGTGAGAATGAACTAATCCCCAAAACTTACTGTAAATTTTGCTTAATTTACAGTAAATTAAGCAAAAAACTGAATTAAATGGCATTAATATTGGGAAAAAAAACTGTCTCTATTTCCAAATGACATGATCATATATATAGAAAACCCTATGGAATCCACTAAAGCTACTAGAATAAACAAGTTCACCAAGGATGCAAAATTTACAAAAATCAATTATATTTCTGTACACAAGCAATGAACAATTCAAAAATAAAATTAAGAAAATCATAAGCACTTATAATAGCAGGAAAAAAATAAAGTACTTGGTAATAAATTTAACAAAACAGGTACAAGACATGTACACTGAAAACTACAAAACATCCCTGAAAGAAATTAACAAAGACCTAAACAAACATCTAATGTTCATGGATTGAAAAATTTCATATTGTTAAGAGGAAAATACTTCACCAAATCACCTACTGATTCAGTGCAACTCATATCAAAACCCCAGAACCTTTCTTTGCAGAAATGGACAAACTAATGCTAAAATTCATATGGAATTGCAAAGGACCAAGAAAATCCAAAACGATCTTGAAAGAAAAGAACAAAGTTAAAGGATGCATACATTCTGATTTTAAAACTAACAAAGCTACAGTAATCAAGACACTGTGGTACTGGCATGAAGATAAACATATAGATCAAGGAATAGAATTTAGAGTCCAGACTTAAATAACTAAATTTATGGTCAATCTTTTTTGTTAAATTTTATGTATTATTTTTTTTTTTTTTCTGAGACAGGGTCCCACTCTGTCACCCAGGCTGGAGTGCAGTGGCACGATCTCAGCTCACTGCAAACTCCACCTCCTGGGTTCAAGTGATTCTCCTGCCTCAGCCTCCTAATTTTATGTATTCTTTTTATAGAGGTGGGGTCTCATTATGTTGCCCAGGCTGGACTCGAACTCCTGGGCTCAAAGATCCTCCTATCTCAGCCTCCCAAACAGCTGAGACTACAGGAGTGTGCCCACTGCACCAGGCTAAGTCAACCAATTTTTTGACACCAAGACAATTCAGTAGAGAAAGAAGTCTTTTCAACAAACCAGTGCTAGAACCAAGGAATATCTACATGCAAAAGAATGAAACTGGATACCTTCATCATCCCATATACAAATATTAACTCTAAATGGATTAAAGACCTGGCTCAGTGGCTCATGCCTGTTATCCCAGCAAACGCAGGTGGATCATTTGAGCCCAGGAGCTTGAGACCAGCCTGGGCAACATGGCAAAACGTCATTTCTACCAAAAAAAAAATACAAAAATTAGCTGGGCGTGGTGGCATGTGCCATAGTCCCAGCTACTCGGGAGGCTGTAGCTGGAGGATTGCTTGAGCCTGGGAGATCAAGGCTGCAGTGAGCCTTGATCGTGCCACTGCACTCCAGCCTGGGTGACAGAGCAAGACCTTGTCTCCAAGAAAAAAAAAATTAGTTAAATGAATTAAAGACCTATAAGTAACAGGTGAAGCTTCAAAAGTGTCACAAGAAAAGTCTAGTGTGGTGGCGCATACCTATAGTCCCAGCTACTCAGGAGGCTGAGACAGGAGGATCACTCGGGCCCGAGACGCCAAGGTTGCAGTGAGCTGTGATAGCACCACTGCACTCCAGCCCAGGAAAAAAAGCAAGACCCTGTCTCAAAAAAAAAAAAAAAAAAAAAGCTATCCAACAGCAACAGCATCAAAAACAATACTTAAACTTAACTAAGGAGGCAAAGACTTGTATGCACTGAAAACTACAAAACACTGATGAAAGAAATTGAAGACACAAATAAATGGAAACACATCCCATGTTCATGGATTAGAAGACTTAATGTTAAAATGTCCATACTACTCACAGCGATGTACAGATTCAATACGATCTCAATGAAAACCCCAATGGCATTTTTTACAGGAATACAAAAACAATCCTAAAACCCAAACAGAACCACAAAAGCCCCCGAATGTAGCCAAAACAATCTTGAAAAAGAACAACAAAGCTAAAGGCCTCACACTTCCTGATTTCAAAACACATTAAAACAGTATGGTACTGGCATAAAAACAAAACATACAGACCAATGGAACAGAACAGAAAGCCCAGAAATAAACCCAGGCATACAGAGGCAACTGATCTTCAAGAAAGGTGCCAAGAATCCACAACAGGAAAAGAACAGTCTCTTCAATAAATGGTACTGGGAAATCTGGGCAGCTATATGAAAAAGAATTGAAGTTTGACCCTCATTTTACACCATACATAAAAGTCAACTCAAAATAGATTAGAAACTTTAATAAGGCCTGAAACTGTAAAACTCCTAGAAGAAAACATGGGAGAAAAGCTTCATGGCACAGCCATGATTTCTAGGATTTGACACCAAAAGCACGGGCAACAAGCGTAAAAACAGACAAGTGAGATTACATCAAACTAAAAAGCTTCGCAGAGCAAACAGATCAATCAACAGAGCAACTAGGCAACTTATGAAATGGGAAAAAATATTTGCAACTACACATCTGCTAAGGGGCTAAAATCCACAATATACAAGGAACTCCTACAACTCAATAGCAAAAAATAACAAATAGCCTGCTTTTCAAATGGGAAAAGGACCTGAAAAAATATTTATTCAAAGACAACATACACAAGGCCAACAGGTATATAAGCAGATGCTCACCATCAGTAATCATCAGGAATATGCAAATCAAAACCACAATGAGATACCATCTCACACCAGTAAGAATGGCTATTATTAAAAATCATAAACTAACAGATGTTGGTGAGGCTGTGAAGAGAAGGGAACACTTAAATATTGCTGGTGGAAATGTAAATTAGTTCAGCCACTGTGGAAAACAACTTCAAGATTTCTCAAAAAACTTAAAACAGGCCAGATGTGGTGGTTTACACCTGTAATCCCAGCACTTCAGGAGGCTGAGGCAGGAGGATCACTTGAGTCCAGGAGTTTGAGGTTGCAGTGAGCTATGATCTCACCACTGCACTACAGCTCAGATGACAGAGCCAGACCCTGTCTCAAAAAACAAACAGACTTAAAACAGAGCTACTATTTGACCCCACAATCCCATTACTGGGTGTATATCCAAAAGAAAGAAATCATTATACCAAAAAGATACATGAACTTGTATGAACAACCATTATCCAAAAATAACAATAACAAGTATTGGCAAGGATGGAGAAATTGTAAACCCTGTGTACTGTTCATAGGAATGCAAAATGGTGCATAATATTTTTTTTAAAGTTCAGAGGTTCCTCACAAAACTAAAAATAGAACTACTGTATGTTCCAGAAATCCCACTTGTGCATATTTATCCAAAAGAATTGATAATGGGTTTTGGTTTTGTTTTGTTTTTTGAGACAGAGTCTCACTCTGTCACCCAGACTACAGTGCAGTGGCGCAATCTCGGCTTACTGCAATCTCCCGTCTCCTGGGTTCAAGTGATTCTCCCAACTCAGCCTCCCAAGTAGCTGAGACTACAGGCATGTGTCACCAGGCCCATCTAATTTTTTTTTGTATTTTTATTAGAGACAGGGTTTCACCATGTTGGCCAGGCGGGTCTCAAACTCCTGACCTCAAATGACCCGCCTGCCTTGGCCTCGGCCTCCCCAGGTGCTGGGATAACAGGCGTGAGCCACCACCATGGATTTTTGAGGAAATATTTGCACTCATGTTAACTACAGCAGTAGTCCCCAACCTTTTTAGCACCAGGGACTGGTTTCACGGAAGACAATTTTTCAATGGGTCAAGGATGGTTTCAGGATGAAACTGTTCCACCTTAGATCATCAGGCATTAGATTCTCAAAAGGAGCATGTAAAACAGATTCCTCACCTGCGCCGTTAAAAATAGGCTTCACGCTCCTAAGAGAATGTAAGAGAATCTAATGCCACTGCTGATTTGACAGTGGGCAGAGCTCAGGCAGTAATGCTCACTCACCTGCCACTCACTTCCTGCTGTGCAGCCCAATCTGTAACAGGCCTCCGACTGGCAGCAGTCCATATATATATACACACACACAATGGAACATTATTCATCCTTAAAGAAGGAAATTCTATAACGTTGACAACATGGATGAACCTTAAGAACATTATAAGTGAAACAAGCCAGTCACAGGAGGCCAAATACTGTATGATTCCACTTTTTATGAGGGATTTAAGATAAAGTAGTCAATCTCATAGGAGCAGAAAGTAAAACAATGGTTGCCAGGGGATGAGGGGAGGTAGAAATGAGGAGTTGAGGCTGGGTGTGGTGGCCCACACCTGTAATCCCGGCACTCTGAGTGACCAAGATGGGAGGATCGCTTGAAGCCAAGAGGTCGAGACTACAGTGAGCTGTGATTGCACCACTGCACTCCAGCCTGGGCAACAGAATGAGACCCAGTCTCTACAAAAATAATTTAAAAATTTAAAATTAGCCAGGCGTGGTGGCAGGTGCCTGTAGTCCTAGCTACTCAGAAGGCTGAGGCGAGAAGCTTGTTTAAGCCCAGAAGGTTGAGACTGCAATCTGTTACCGTGCCACCGCACTCCGGCCTGGGCCACAGAGTGAGACCTTGTTTCTCAAAAAAAAAAAAAAAAAAAAAAAAAGCGCAGTTGCTATTCAATGGGTATTGTTTAAGCTATCCAAAATGAAAACGTTCTAGAGATCTGCTGTACAACATTGTGCTTATAATTAACAATACTGTATTGCACACTTAGAAATTTGTTAAAAGGATAGGTCTCATATTATGTATTTTTTATTACAATAAGAAAATTTTAACTGTTATGCTTCAAAAGACACTATCAAGAAAGTGAAAACAACCCACAGAATTGGAGAAGATATATGCAAATCATTTACCTGATAAGTCTAACATCCAGAACATATAAAGAACTCTTAAAACCCAACAATAAAAAGACAACCCAACTAAAAAACAGGCAAAAGATCAGAAGACATTTCTCCAAAAAATACATACAAATGGCCAATAAGCAGATGAAATGATGCTCCACAGCATTAGCCAACAGAGACATGCTAATCAAACCATGAAATACTGCTTCACACCCACCAGCATAGCTATAATCAAAAAGACAGTATGAAGTGTTATCAAGGATATGGAGAAACTGGAACCCTCATATACTGCTGATAGAAATGTAAAATGGTAAAGCTGCTTTGAAACATAGTCTGGAAGTTACTCAAATGGTTAAACAGAGGTACCACATGACTCAGCAATTTTTCACTCTTACATACACATATACACAAAAGAAATGAAAACAAATGTTCACATAAAAACTTGCACATGGACGTTCACAGCAGCATTATTCACAATGGCCAAAAAAAAAAAAACAAAGTGGAAACAACCCAACAACTGATGAATGAATACAAAAAAAAGTGGTAAACCCATATAATAGATTACTATTCAGCAATAAAAAGGAATGAACTGCTGACACATGCTACATCATGTAACATTACACTAAGTAAAAGAAGCCAGACAAAAAAGATCATCTACTTTATGATTCAATTCATATGAAATGTCCAGAACAGGCAAAGTCCTAGAGACTGAAAGTAGACTAGTAGTTGCCAGGGACGGGGAGGAAGAGGGAATGGAAATTGACTGCTAATGGGTAGTTTCTTTTTAGGGTGATGAAACTGTTCTAAAATTGATTATGCTGATGGCTGTATGCCTCTGTACACTGAAAACAACTGAACTGTATAGCTTAAGTGGGTGAATTGTATGGTATATAAGTTATACCTCAATAACACCGTTTAAGGAAAACTATATGATGGCTGGAATTTGCTTCAAAATAACATGGAAGATCTAAGTAAACGGAGAAATATCCTGTGGTCACGGACTGAAGGACCTCTATCTTAAAAAAAAAAAAAAAAAAGATCTTCTCAAATTCAACTATAGGTTTATTCAATTCCTATCAAACTCCCAGCAAGATTTTTTTTGTAGATACAGATGTGATTATTCTAAAATTTATATGGAAAGGCAACAAAACCAGAAGAGCTAAAACAATCTTGACAGAGAAGAATGAAGTGAGAGGAGGCACTCTACTCGATAAGACTCACTATAAAGCTATAATAATCAAGACAGCGTGGTACTGGAGGGAAGGCAGACACACTTATCAATGGAAGAGAATACAGAACCCCAAAACAGACCAATACAAATATGTTCAACTGATTTTTGAGCAGTTTGGAAGTTTTTTAAATAACTAAACATGTACTTGCCATACAACCCAGCAATCCCACTCTTGGGCTTTTATCTCAAAGAAAGGAAAACTTTTGTTTACAAAAAACGCTGTACACAAATGTCCATAACCTCTTTATTCATAATAACAAAATACTGCAACATACTAAAAGTTCTTTAACAAGTGAATGGCTAAACAAAGTATGTATGTATACAAAGTATACATACATAAACAAACTATGTCATTCTGGAAAGAACAAAACTATAGATAGTAAACAGTTTGCCAGGGTACAAGGAGGAGTGTTGGAATGGGGTGGGAACATAAAGGGATAGCAAGAGGAGTTTCCTTTGTGATGAGGCAATAGTTCTGGATCTTGGTCTTGGTGGTAGTTACATGAATTTATATATGGCATAAAATTGCTAGAACTGTGAACACACAAAAATAAGTGCAGGTTTAAAAAGCAGTGAAAATGATATAAATTCTGTAGTGTGGTTAACAGTAATATACCAATGTCAATTTCCTAGTTTTGATGTCTTACTAGAAATTTATTAAGATGTCTGGGTGAAGGGTACACAGGACTATGTACTAATTTTGCCACTTCCTGTGAGTCTATAATTTTTTCAAAATAAAGGTTTTTTCCTTTTTTTATATAGTAGGGACAGAGTTTCGCCATGTTTCCTAGGCTGTTCTTGAACTCCTGAGTTCAAGAGATTCACCTGCCTTGGTCTCCCATAGTGTAGGGATTACAGGCATGAGCCACTGTGCACAGCCCAGAATAAAGTTTAAAAAAAAAAAAATTAACATGTGAGGCCAGGTTCAGTGGTTCATGCTTGTAATCCCAGCACTTTGGGAAGCCAAAGCGGGAAGATCACGTGAGCCTAGGAGTTTGAGACCAGCCTGGGCAACATAGCAAGACCCCATCTCTATATAGAAACTAAAAAAAGAGAGAGGAGAGAGGGGTAAGGTGGAGGTACAGATGACATAAGCTTAGCCATTAATTGCTATATGAGAGTTCATAATATTCTATTTTTCATCATTTACGTTTTTCCATAATAAAAGGTTAATAAAAATATAAGAAAGCCATATACCAAAATATTAAAAGCAGTTTCTCTTGATTCCATTTTTCTTTATGCTAATATGCATTTTAAGTTTTTTCTATTAAATAAATTTCTTACATAAAATTTAAATTTTAAATTTCAAAATTTTTTTAAATTTCAATGTCATATATAAATTTTTAAGGAAATCTTTGCTCATATTGTCTTTTTGGAGATGTTCACTGCTCCTGCGGCCACACAAATCACACTCAGACATTCAGAGCCTGGAAAACTCAGTTCACTTTTTTTGTTTTGTTTTTAGGAAAAAAAATTAAACATAAAAGAACCCCATTGAGGGAACACTTATTCTATTTTATGGAATTGTTGCCCAATTCTTTAAAAAATTAATTTAAAAAAGAACCCCATTGATACTTCTTCTGACAATACACTGCTTAAGCAATCTGAAAATATTTCATGTAAATATCCAATTTGTATTTCCCCAATTACATTTCACCTGAAGGTTCCAGTTATCTTTTTCTAAAATTAACTAGGGGGTCTTGCTATAACAGATTTACAATCAGCACAATAATTCACCACTTTAGTGATCCTCACACAACAGAACAAATGTGTTAAGTTCAAGATACCCTAAGATGTTTCAGTAATTCTGGTTGAGTTTGCATTCAAAATTTTGCCTAAGCTATCATAACTAACTTTAATTGTTTTGTTTTAAAAATTGTATGTGGTCTTTTTAAATTTTTCAGACATTTTCTTAAAAAGCAGCCACTGAAAAGTTTACAGTGGTAACAACACCATGCTGAAGAATTCAAAAATATGTGTGAATCTGAAAAAGTAACTAATTCACTGAAAGACAATATTTCTCACAATGCGATTATTTAACATTGTAATTTGATTAAATTTATCTGTATCAAGCAAAAGTGATGCCACACCCTTTCCCTCAGCAATGATTTAAACTAAGAAGTAGAGGTAATAAGAGACCTGAGCTCTGCATTATCTGTCCAACCTTGGGTAAGTCACCATCTCTCCATAACTCAATGTCTTCATCTACATACTGAAGGAGTTATACTTGTTAATCTTCCAGCTCCACAATCCTGTGTTCTAATGTTCTAATATATACTTCATAACCTTTGACCCATGATCATTCTAATGACAACATTGGAAAAAGATTTATAATATACATGATATAGAGATATCAATTAGATTACAAATAACTTTCATAGGTTTAAATCATTTGGGAGAATGTTATTCTCAATACATCAGATCAGGGTTTTGTCAACATCAGCACTACTGACATTTTGCAGTGGATAATTTCTTTGTCATGGGGACTGTCATATGCATTGTAGGAGGTTTATCTACCCACTAGATGCCAGTGGAACCCCCTCAGCGTGCTGACCAAAAATGTCTCCAGACGTTTGACAAAATCACCTCTGGTTTGAGAACTATTGCATTCGATTTAAAATGTCCAGGGTTTCCAGACAAGGGAAAAAGAAGAAGACTGTTTTTGTTTTGTGATATAGGAGGAATGGCATAAGAAAAGACAGGAATGTTTTCCAGCAAAACAAAAGGTCGGGCTGGGCACAGTGGCTCACATGTGTAATCCTAGCACTTTGGGAGGCCGAGGCAGGAGGATAGCTTGAGGCCAGGTGTTTGAGACCAGGCTGCTCAACACAGTGAGACCCCAGTCTCTATTTAAAAAAAAAAAAAAATTGCAACTCACATACTAGAAAAAGGTACCCTCTTGTATGAGGCCTAATGAAAACATTAATTAAATATTGTTGTGTGTGGCTAATGTAGTAACAATGAGAATAAAAGTATATAAGCTATGGGGAAATCCATAGGTATTCCATCCATGCCTTGTAAAGAATCCTCAATAAAGAGGTCCAAACGTTTTCAACAGAGATTAATGACATTAACTTAATTCCTCTTCTCCCTAGCATTTCAAGGAGGCTAAAAGTGCTCAAGTTACTTACTCCCTATTCTAACCACTGAGAACACTCGCATGAAAAATATATCTTCCCCCCGTTAAAAACCATAAGCATCTGCCTGTTGTAATCAAATGTAAATGTGGTACAAATCCCACTAGAAGTACCACTGGGTAATATACTCAAGTCCTCTGTTTTTAAAGAAAGGCCAAAGAAATCCAGTGTGGAGAAATTACTTTTAAATGTTTTAACAGAAAAGTAAACGTTCACACGTTCATTTTTTGGCTCAGCCCTATTTTCCACCAAACAGACAAACACCCAGTTTCCTTAGTCTATTCTGGGATTGGTCACCAGACTGGGCATAAGAGACCCAGAGTCTATTCCAGCTCCAAAACAGACTGGTAATCTCAAGCAAATTATTCACTCAGGTTAAGGTTCTATACCTGTATCATGCTAACAATACTGAAAATCTGCCCAGAAACAAGCACAGAGAAACCCAGGACTTCCTCCTGCACCCAAAGGACAACTGCAAATATATTTTTAGATTTATTAAATCTAAAAATCTGAATAGGATTTTATTTATAGCAACATTTCAACATACTTGAAATTTCCAAACTGAGTGGTGCCTTTACCACTGCCCTCTATAAAATTAAGAAACGCTCTTGTTTAATCACACCATGCCTAATTTTGCAAAATTCTTCATGTAAACTCAACAAATCACAATTATTATATAAAACAAAAAGCTGTTTTAAATGCAAGCTGTTGGAAAGAGCTTCAACTTTTGCATTTCCAACTCTAGCTTTCATTCTACTGCACAAGTAGTTCTTTCCTGGCATCGTAAAAGGTGTTTCACAAAGTCTGGAGAGCAAAAGTTTGCCCCACAGCCCAATTCTGGAAAGGCCTTAGGATTGTTCTTACCACTAGACAAGCAGGGTTTTTTAATATAAGGATACAGGTGTACATTTTTTGCTCTTAATACCCAGTAAAAAGCTGTCTAGTAAAGCAAGTTACCTGCTGACCTTTTCACAGACGTGAAACTGTAAACACAATGCAGTTCAACAGAAGATTTGTAAAAGAGGAATAAGAAGAAAAACGGGTGTCCATCATCAGCCTTCGGCGGCCCCCCCGCTGTCTGGCGGACACTTGTTAGTGGCTGCGGAGAAGCCACTCACAAAGTTTCCCATCCCGTTGAGGGAAGGGGTCCTGACTGCGCCAGCGGGGCAGGCCCAGAAGGCGCGGTATCTGGGAGGTCCGGCCGCCGCAGACGACCCCGCCGAGGCCCAAAGTGCGCCAGCTTCTCCGCGCCCCTCCGCCTCCTCCTCCTCCTCCTCCCTGCAGAGGGGCGCACGCGCACAGACACACGCACGCACGCACGCACTTACACACAAAAGGAAGTCATGGAAGGTGCTGGTCCCTGCATACAGGCACACTCGCGCGGGACACACACACACCCCCCAAAAAGAGGCGTGCGGGGTTCGCCAGACGGTGGGCAAAAGCCCGTCCTCCCCCCCTTCCAGGGCCTGCTCACTTCAGGGAGCGCCCACTCGCCCAGCCACGGGCCAAGAGCGCACGGACCCAGGCGGGCGGCAGCCCACCCGCCACCACGCAGCTCCACTTCGCTGTTCCACAGCCACCAACCGCACAGCCGGCACAGTCCCGCCCGCGCAGCTGGCCCAATCGGGCCTGGGCTGCAAAAGCCCAGGGAATATGAGGGCTCCCTACTTCCAAGTTTCTTTAATAAAAATATTACATTTAATGATGCTTGTCAATATCCTCACCTCTACAAACCAAGGCCTGTTTAAGCCCCTTTCCTTAAAGAACCAGTTATCAATAGTATCCAACAAAACGCTGCAGAACACAGCTTTGTATTATCACACAGCCTGACAGTAAGAAATCTCTTTCAGTAGCCTCCGCCTTAATCCTTCCTCTTACTCTAACTTTTCCACACCCTAATTTACTCATTTTAGTTTTTTCTTGCCTTGCTTGTTTTATATTGTTCCCAAAAGAAATCTTCTCTAAACCATCTTTCCATTTTACTTTTCTAATACTTGAAGTAACAAGCTTCATAAATCGGACCGGCGCGGGGACTCAGGCCTGTAATCCCAGCACTTTGGGAGGCTGAGGCGAGCGGATCACGTGAAGTCAGGAGTTCAAGACCAGCCTATCCAAAATGGTGAAACCTCATCTCTACTAAAAATACAAAAAATTAGCCGGGTGTGGTGGCGGGCACCTGTAATCCCAGTTATTCAGGAGGCTGAGACAGGAGAATCGCTTGAACCCAAAAGGCAGAGGTTGCAGTGAGGCGTGATAACGCCACTGCACTCCACTCTGGGCAACAGAGCAAGATGCCATCTCAAAAAAGAAAAAGAAAAAAAAAAGCTTCATAAATCACTTCCATGATATCTCCCACTTTAGCTATTCAAAATCTCTCCACAACTTTTATAATTTTTTATCAGCTCCTACCAAATCAATACATAAATAACTTTCTCAAACACTGCGTTTTTCTTGTCTGTTCTCATTTCCTCAAAGCTAACACTCTCCAACTTACACAAATTTGCCCCAAACTGCCATCAAAGTTTGTGCATCTATTCCAGAAGCCCCTATGGCTACAGAAAAATCTGTTTCCTAGGCTCGTCCCCAAAACCTTGAAAATGACCTTTCCAAATATTCTGTAACAATTCATTTAACTCATTCATAACTCAAAACTAGTTCCACTACTAGTCCCACTTCCCTTAAAACTAATTATACAACCTAATCAAATAAACAAATTTTAATATTATATGTATCTACACATACAGGTGTGTACATATGACAAGTACACATATACAGGGGCCTGCAGAACAGCAAGTGTGCATTTCATTCTAATCTCTTGGATATTGGCTCTTCTCAATTTTACAGGGAAAACTTCTCCATGCCACCCTAGATGTTCAAAGGTCAAACCCCTGTATTGTGAAGACATTTATCTATGTTGAATTAATATAGTTATCATTTAAAACACACTTCTCTCCATGTCTACTATAATCCTTCCCATCACCTTCTTTAAGATACTCATCATTGGCCTAACCCACACAATCCACCCAAATATTCAGAATATGCTCTCCCTCAACAAGGTCCAGTCTGAGGCACATCCTAAAAACAACTCTAGACTGAATCAGGCAGGGCTGCTACATGATGGTACAGCCAAGTTTCATGAGTTGAGCAAAGTGAGAACCCTGGGCCCTCTCAGGCCTTCAACACTCTGAGTCTCCAGAGATCTTTCATTATTAAATTTGGTGGCTAAACAGATGTAGAAGTTAAGGCAGGAAGAAAGTGATGAAAGCCCAGGGCTAAATCCTGGAACTAATCCTGAAGCAAAGCTACACTAGGATGGAACACCAATACTACGTATTTTGTGCCTTGTCATATTTTTCTCACTGCCATTTCATGTTTCTACATTAAATATGCTTTCTCTCTCTCTCTCTGAAACATGAACATCAAAAACTCTGATATGGGCCATGCACAGTGGCTCATGTCTATAATCCCAGCACTTCAGGATTATTAAAGTCATTATAGACAAAAAAGAAAGTAAAGAGTCCACTTTAGTTCCCTTAGGACATCTCATTCTTACCATGTGCCCCATTCTTCCACATTTTACCCGAATCTCTTTACTTATGCAAGTTTTTGCCAGTTTTTGCAAACAGAAAACATGATGTGGTTCTCAAGCACACAAATAGAGATCTCAATGTCTCTATCACTGACAATATTTTTTTAAAAGCTGGCATGACATACTGCCACCTTTTATCATGGGTGGCATAGACTGTTCTTATTTGCACAGAGAAAGAATAGGTTTCTGACATCAGTTATTTCCTGCTCACTTCAGCGAGCGCCCACCTGCCTGCCCTGCCATGGGCCAAGAGCACACAGACCCAAGTGGGCGGCAGCCCACCCGCCACCATGCAGCTCCACGCCGCTGCTCCACCAGCTGCTAAGTGCACCGCCAGCACAGGCCCGCCCATGCAGCTGGCACAACTGGGCCTGGGCTGCAAAAGCCCAGGGAATACAAGGGCTCCCTACTTCCCAGTTTAATAAAAATATTACACTTAATGATGCTTGTCAATATCCTCGCCCCTACAAACCATGGCCTGTTTAAACCCCTTTCCATATGTTCTCTCCATATTTTCTCTGCTGCAAGCTACTCTCTCCTCTCTTATGCCTACAACTTCAACTTCCTCATTCATTTCCAGTCCATCTATTTACCAGATCCTATCAGCTTCTCCATGTTCTATTGTCAACAAACAATAGAACATCTTTTGTCTTTTACCTTCATCTTTTTTTTTAGACAGGGTTTTTGTATTTTTTTGATTTTTTTAGACAGGGTCTCACTCTGTGGCCCAGGCTGAGCGCAGTGGTGCAATCATGGCTCACTGCAGCCTTGACTTCCAGGGCTCAAGTGATTCTCCCACCTCAGCCTCCTGAGTAACTGGAACTATAGGTGTGCACCACCATGCCCAGCTAATTTTTTATTTTTGTGTAGAGACAGGGTTTCCCTATGTTGCCCAGGCTGGTCTCGAACTCCTGAGCTCAAGTGATCCTCCTGCCCCTGCCTCCCAAATCACTGGGATTACAGGTGTGAGCCATCATACTCAGCTTACCTTATCTTTAATACACCTCCACCTCATCTTTTGTTTCCAATGTCTCATTTCTTAACCCACAAATATCTTTCAGCTAAATTTATATCAGCATATTACACATGAATGGTTATGATTTTGCAAGTATTATTTATTTTATAAACAAACTGTTGGGAGGCCAAGGAGGGAAGATCGCTTGAGACCAGAAGTTTAAGACCAGCCTGGGCAACATAGGAAGACCACATCTCTTTAAAAAAAAAAAATTAAAATTAAAATTAAAAAATTAAAAAATATATATATACATATATATAGAAAAGAAAAGCCAGGTATGGTGGTACACATATGTAATCCCAACTACTCAGAAGGCTGAGGCAGGAGAATTGCTTGAGCCCAGGAGGCAAGGCTGCAGTGAGCCATGACTGGACCACTGCACTCCAGCCTGGGTAACAGAGAAGACCCTGTCTGAAAAATTAAAAAATAATAATAATAAGAGAACTGGTAAATGTAACAAATCTAGCTATTTTTCTCAATTCCCGTGGCTCAATGATTCCAATCACTATCAACTCTTGCCCAATTATTGTGACCACCTGTCTCATCTTACCTGGCTTTTCCTGGACAATCTGCTTCTCTCATGACTAGCTATATCATTCTCCTACTCCTTCAGCTTGATAAAAAAGGACTTGCTGCTTCTTGCTCCCCAGGACCACTCCCTGTTATCCTATCACTAAAAAATCGCTTGGGAGTCACATTACTCACTGAAACCATTCCTTCTGCAACATCTACCAACCTCCAGAACACCCTCCTATTTCCCCTACCCAATAACTTCAATTCTGCTTGCTCCCAAATTCAGCCATTATTCTCAATGACTTCAACAAAGATGCTCAAGAACTTTCTACACCCTGACCTTCAAAAACTCCTAAGACCTTCATCTGCACTTCAGCTAGCCACAAAGAAACAAAACAGAGCCATCAACTGAAAAGTGCTAGGCCGGGTGTGGTGGCTCACGTCTGTAATCCCAACACTTTAGGAGGCCAAAGCAGGTGGATCACTTGAGGTCAGGAGTTCGACACCAGCCCTGGCCAACATGGTGAAACCCTGTCTCCTTTAAAAATACAGAAAATTAGCCGGACATGGCGGCTCATGCCTTAATCCCAGCTACTTGGGTGGTTGAGGCAGGAGAATCACTTGAACCTGGGAGGCAGAGGCTGCAGTGAGCCAAGATTATGCCACTGTACTGCAGCCTGGGTGACAGAGCGAGACCCTGTCTCAAAAAAAAAAAAATAGTTACAATCCACTAGGATTGTAACTTCAGAGACCACCCCCCTTTTCTTTATCCACAACTACTTTATGTTCTAGTTGTAGACCTGCTCTTTACCTCCACTTGGCTTTATTGTCTCCCTATATAATTTAAACCTGTCCAACAGCCATTTTAACACTGTCCTCTCCAGAATATCATGACCTTCCATTATTCTCACTATGCATCTCCCCAGTGATAGACAATCCTCACCATCTGTTTTCTCCATGCCCACGCACTGGGTGTTAAGCACCACCAGAAAGCTATGAAATCTTCCACAACAGATTTATTCTAAATACAACTCTCCGTCTCATTGACTAATCCAAATCATTTTCATATTTAAATCCCTAATTCCAACAAATACTCGAACCCTTCTATAAAATTCCCTCAAATCACACCTTCTCCACCTGTAATCAAATCCTCTTCACAGCTTCTAAAATGCTGTAACTTCATCCATCTGTTACTTCTTGCCTCCAGTTTTAGAATAAGAGTTGTTGTTCTTCCTTCTCAAACTAAACTTCTTTAATCAATTCCTGTATTTATTGCTTCCATATTCTTCCAACCCACTCAGTAAACCACCATGCACCCTGGTCTCTGAACTGCTCTCTTGAAGACCACAAAAAAAAACAAAAACTAAAAAATCTATGTTCCAAATCATATGATCCCCCACCAAAGTCCTTACCCTTTTTTTGTTTTTGTTTTTGTTTTTTTTTTGAGACGGGCTCTTACTCTGTCACCCAGGCTGGAGTGCAGTGGTTCAATACCAGCTCACTGCAACCTCCGCCTCCCAAGCTCAAGTGATCCTCCCACCTCAGCCCCCCAAGTAGCTGGGACTACAAGTGCGCGCCACCACACCCAGCAAAGTTTGTTATCTTTGGTAGAGATGAGGTTTCATCATGTTGCCCAGCATGGTCTCGAACTCCTGAGCTCAAGCAATATGCCCACCTCAGCCTCCCGAACTGCTGAAATAACAGGTATGAGCTA
The DNA here is from genome assembly GCF_000001405.40 of Homo sapiens. Lineage (NCBI taxonomy): Eukaryota > Metazoa > Chordata > Mammalia > Primates > Hominidae > Homo > Homo sapiens. The sequence continues at coordinate 125,362,843 of NC_000003.12, forward strand.
CCATGCTTGGCCAGTCCTTACCCTCTTTTTGGCAATGACACTTAAGCTACCCACCTTGCTTTATGTCACTGTAATGATTCTACTCTGACCTCTCTGGTTGTTTCTTCTATCTGAAATCACTGCTGCTCTTCCTAGCCCAAATTGTGGATATTTTCCCAAGGTCTGACCTGGAGCCTCCTATAATTCTCAGCCACTGAGGGTCTCATCCCTCACCACTGTTTCTACATTTTCATTCTTCATATGGCTGTCTTCCCCCAGCTACCCAAAATAATCTTTAAACCATCACCCTCTCCTACAATCCAATTTACTCCTGAGGAATTAGAATATATAATGATTTCTTTTTAACTAGAATTGGAATGCATAATGATTTCTTTTTAACTAGATTCTTCAACTATTACTTCAATTAACACTTCAATTATCAGTCCAAATAATTTCATAACCGTCAGTGCCCTAACTAAATCCAAAATTAGTAGCTATATAATTATCAACTCTATGTATGTATTCCCAACTCTATATTGGACTTCTTTTCTTAGCTCCAATCCAGTACTGATGCCTCACACACAGGTCAATGTGTCTTAAAACCCCAAAACAGTTCTGCTAAGTGATCTAATAATTTCTACTAATGGCACCATCAATCTCAGTCACCCAGATTAAAAGCCCTAGAGCTTTTCTTCAGTTTTCTTTTTCTCTACTGTTTCCCAAAAGCCTATCTGCCATCAAACCTTCCCATTCTTTCTTTGAGGTATTTCTTATAGCTATCCCTCTCCTTTTATTCCCACTATGACTACCCAACTTATACCCTCAATACTTCACACTTTTTTTTTTTTTTTTTGAGACAGGGTCTCCCTCTGTCACCCAGGCTGGAGTGTAGATTTCAGCTCACTGCAACCTCTGCCTTCTGGGTTCAAGTCATTCTCCTGCCTCAGCCTCCCGTGCACCTGGAACTACAGGCATGTGCCACCATGCCCCGCTAATTTTTTTATCTTTGCAGAGACAAGGTTTCGCCATGTTGCCTAGGCTGGTCTCAAACTCCTGAGCTCAAGCAATCTGCCTGCCTCAGCCTCCCAAAATGCTGAGATTACAGGCATAAGCCACTGTGTCCAGCCTACTTCACACTTTTTCCTAACTTTGTCTCCCAGTCACCAGGTTCTCTTCATTACAAAAAGAGAAAGGTCACCAGATTAGTATTCTTAAATAGTCTCTTATTTACCCGTTCAAAAATCAACACTGGTTCTCCACTGCATACTGACTTAAGTTAAAACTCCTCAGACTTCAGCCAGGTATGGTGGCTCATGCCTGTAATCCCAGCACTCTGGGAGACCGAGGTGGGCAGATCACTTGAGGTGAGGAGTTTGAGAAAAGCCTGGCCAATATGGCAAAACCCTGTCTCTACTAAAAATGCAAAAATTAGCTGGGCGTGGTGTCACATGCCTGTAATCCTGGCTACTAGGGCGGCTAAGGTAGGAGAATAGCTTGAACCCAGAAGGCGGAGGTTGCAGTGAGCAGACATCGCACCACTCCAGCCTGGGTGAGTGAGACTCTGCCTGAAAAAAACAAACAGAACACCTCAGACTTCAAAAAACTTGAAACCATCCAATAATCATGGAATAGATAAATACACTGTGGTATATTCATATGATAGAATACCACACAGCAATGAAAAAAGAATAAACAGCCAAACATAACATGGATAAAACTCACAGACATGCTCCTTGAGAAAAAGGAACTAGACACAGAAATTGGGTTCCACTTATACAAAATTCAAAAACACACAACACTACTCTGTTATGACAAAAGTCAGAATAATAGTTATTTTTGGTTGGATGAGATATCAGCTTGGAAATGGCACATGAGGCATCCTTCTGGAAGTCGGAAATGTCCTGTATATTGAACTGGGTGGTGGCTACATAAATTTATACCTAAGTGCCCTTAAGATTGGAGCACTTTACTGTATTTATCTCAATAAATACATTTTCAAAATCCAAGTTAGCCTGAATTTTTGAGATAGTCTGCCTACTTCCCAGCTTTATTTCCCTCCATTCCTCAACATGAACCCTAAATTATAGCTAATCTAGACCACCAACCCCTAAACATGTCCTGAACTTTGCTCACTGTCACTCATATCACTCCTTCTTCTAGGAAAGCCAACCCTCACCTTCTTGCCTATTATCTTATTTATCCTTCAAGGTCTAAGCTTCGCACCAATTTCTCCACAAAGCCAACCTTGAACAAACCTGCCACAGTACTTGTGTCATAGATGGATGTGTATGTTTTGTCCCTGGATAAATTCCTGAAGAACACGGACTGTGTCATATATAAACATGTATCCTTCACACTCCCTACCATAGAACCTTGCACATGGTAAATATAAAAATATACCCTGAATGAATAAATTCTGGCAGTCCATTGCATACAGTAAATATAAAAATATACCCTGAACGAATAAATTCTGGCAGTCCATCAAAGTATCCTCCAGTCTAACCCTCCTTCTCACATCCACCCATCACTGCTTCTACTCACAATTCATCCCACAGTCCACGTATTTAGTTTCTATCATTCAACAAATAATTGAGCACCTACTACATGAAAGAAACTAAAATTATACTCTAATGTACTGCACTAAACTACCCAAAAATATAATCCAATTTCAGCTGCTGCCATTTGAATATTTCTACAACTCTAAATTTCCAGTCAGCCAGGCATGGTGGCTCACACCTGTAATCCCAACACTTTGGGAAGCTGAGGGAGGGGATCACTGGAGCCCAAGAGTTTGAGATCAGCCCAGGCAACATGGTGAGACCACATCTCTACAAAAAAAATTGAAAATTAGCCAGGCGTGGTGGTACATGCCTGTGGTCCCAGGTACTCGGAAGGCTGAGGCAAGAGGATCACTTGAATCCACGAGGTAGAGGCTGCAGTGAGCTGCTGCGTTCACACAACTGCATTCCAGCCTGGGCAACAGATCAAGAGCCTCACGTTCGTTCATTCAATAATAAATAAATAAATAGCATATTTCTAGTCATCTTCCCCTCTTCCCTACCTCCAACTGCATTCCACTTCCATATTCTAATCCTACTGCTATCAAACTAATTCAAGCCCTTCTTAATATCTCCAGTAGCCACCTAACTGGTCTTTTTGTTTTCTAACTGGTCTTTTCACATACAATCTTACTCTACCACCACATTACCCGCAATCTACCCAGTAAGGTATAGCTATTGCCAGCTATCTAATATACGGTCCTTGGCTCAATTCTCTACTCAGAAAAGTTCAACAGCTATACACTAATGATTTCTGCTAACATACTTTAATCATATGTTAACATACTTTAATTCTCACATCCTCACCATAACCCTTGCCAGGAAAGTATGATTATCAATTTTATGAGAAAATGGAAACTCAGAAAGGAAATAATTCTCCATAATCATACAGTGGGTAAACAGAAGAGCCAAGACTAAAACCCAGCTTCTGTTTGCTTACCAAGCACAACACTACATCATATCAAATACAAACTACTTAGCTTAGCTTTCAAGGCCATCCATTTTCAACCCAACCCCAACTGACTCTCCTACCTTGTATTATACCTTATTCATGAACTCTCTGCGTTCCAAACTATAGATTGTGATTAATTATTTTGTCGGTCATGAAATCAGTTTAATGAGTGACAATCAGCTTTTTTTTCTTCCCCCTTGGCCAGCTTTTTTTCTTTTTAGTCAAACAAAATAGATAACATCCAACTGCACCTGCCACTGTTAAGGACAGTTACTGTATTATGAAACTTCTTGTTTTACCCACACACAAACATTCATACATGCATATATTAGATAGAAGTGTGACATGTATTTCTTACTATAGGTCATAGTTTAAAAATTAAAACCTAACTCACCATTCCCCACATCTCCTGGGCTTCTCACCTCCAAGCCTTTGCTTACGCTAATCTCTCAGGCAGGAATGCTCTCTTTCAGTAATCTTTGCCAATCAAAATCCTATCAATCCAAAACTTAAAAAAAAAAATCTTATCAATCCCTTCAAAGACTAGCTAAAATTCCACTTTTATGCCTTTAAAGTTCTGTCTCAGGTTTTCTCCTAATCAAATGCATTTTCTGCCTTTTAAATTCAGTAATATTTGGTATATTTGTGACTCACAGATATATTTGTGATTATAGTACAGGTATTTGTGCACAAGTCCAGCTGCCCTACCACAATATAAATCCCAAAGGTTTTATTCCTGACAGCAAAGCATTATATGCTTTTGCATATAACAAATGTGCATTATCTGTTAAATAAAGCTCATCCCATCATTTTCTGAAACCTTGTTATAAATCAACATAATTTAATAACTTCTACTATATTCCAAACTTCTGTTGACTCTTATCCTTCAAATAGCCTTACCATCTTCCTCCTCAAAACAGCCGTCTCAAATAATCCTCTTTACCCTCCATCTTCTCATGCTTTCCTCCAAAGATAGCCTGTCATATTTCAGTAATCTTTTCCCTCCTTCAGAATCATGCTTTCTATCAGATACCACCTTTCCTTCCCCATCTGCTTATCTTCTACCTTATTCCTAGTTCTCTAACACCGATACACATTGATCTATATTCTTTAAACAGATTTTTCTTTTCTTCATCATCTCTTTAACCAGATTTATTGAATTATTTCAATTCATTGCTAGTGCATATAGTTTGGCAGCCCTGTTAAGTCCTTTGTAGAAAAAGGCAGGTTATGAATAAATGAAAAAGAAACATAAAACATATAGACAATTCAGATCTCCTAAATTATCTCAAATATCTCATTCATTCATTCATTCATTCATTCAACAAGCTCGTGTCTACTGGACACATGCCCTCAGTTCTGTCTATTCTATTCCGTAATTCAGAAAGCAGCTTTGAGAAAAGCATGCAGGAAAATGCCAGGATAACAGGGCCAAGTTGACTCATGCTCTTCTCTCATGAAGGCCAAGTAATTTGTGGGGTACAGGCTCATAAAAGAACAACTAAAAGTTACACTATACGAAGACGGAAAACAGACCCCATAGTTGTTTCAGGGGGCTCAACATCTACCAACAAATGTGAATCTGAAAGGAACAAACCAGTAGGAGTAGCTAAAATGAAACAGGCAGAAAGCATTCAGACAAAAATAGATCCAGACTCTAGGTTCACTTTAGGGCTGCAAGAGGAATTTGGAGTCATTTAGTTCCTCTCTGAGATCCCTAAGGAATCTTTTCAAATATAAGTATGGTTCACTTAAATCATTTCACCAAACCTTAGCCAATGTTCATTTCTCCATTCCCTGAACTCCTACAGCACTTACTGTCTGTAAAACTCATTTGTGAACTTAAACTATCTTGCTCAAGGTAATAAAATTATTAACAAACATACTCAGAATTTATTTCATCTGAGAAAAATGAGTTTTTAAAAAATTTATTTACACATTCAAATCAGTATGGTCCTCTTTAAAATAAGTTACTTTGGAAGGCTACCACTTACTCATTTATTCACTCCATCCATCCAACCATCTGATGCACTCAACCAACATTTATGTAGTGCCTAACTAACTACATGTGAAGCTATCACCCCTGTTCAAAATATTTCCAACTTCCTCCTTGGGAGTGTTTTCAAAATCAGCTAATAAGTCAACCAAGAAAATTATTCCCGTTTCTGTGATTAACTGGATTTAAGGCAAAACTATTTTTCATTCACTCTATTTGATATTGACTAACCTTCAGCATTTCTAAAAATCAAAATTTCAAAGTAAAAAGATCTGTCATCAATAAGACCATTCAGAATAAGATTATACCATGTATTATTTAAAAGTGTGCCTCTTGGCCGGGTGTGATGACTCATGCCTGAAATCACAGCACTTTGGGAGGCCAAGGTGAGTGGATCACTTGAGGCCAGGAGTTCGACACCAGCCTGGCCAACACGGCGAAACCCCATCTCTACTAAAAAATACAAAAAATTGCCAGAAGTGGTGGTGCACGCCTGTAGTCCCAGCCACTCTGAGACTGAGGCAGGAGAATCGCTTGAACCTGGGAGGCAGAGGTTGCAGTGAGCCAAGATGGCGCCACTGCACTCCAGCCTGGGTGACAGAGAGAGGCTCCATCTCAAAAAACAAACAAACAAACAAAAGTGTGCCTCTTGGGCTCGGCGCAGTGGCTCACACCTGTAATCCCAGCACTTTGAGAGGCTAAGGCAGGCAGATCACCTGAGGCCAGGAGTTCGAGACCAGCCTGGCCAACATGGTGAAACCGTGTCTCTACTTAAAATACAAAAATTAGCTGGGTGTGCTGGTGTGTGCCTCTAGTCCCAGCTACTTGGTAGGCTGAGGCACGAGAATCAGTTGAACTCAGGAGGCGGAGGTTGCAGTGAGCCAAGATCACACCACCGGACTCCAGCCTGAGTGACAGAGTGAGATCCTGCCTCAAAAAAAAAAAAAAAAAAAAAAAAAGCCATAGAAGCCTAGAAAGAACATTCTAGGGTCATTTTAATACATTTCCAGATTTCCCACACTAAAACTCTCCAGAAGACAAAGAATACTGCAACCTCAAAAAAAAAAAAAAAAAAAAAAAGTGTGCCTCTTGAAGGGATTATGAACTCCTAGCAAACAGGGACCATGTTTCGCTCACCTTTATAGACCCCTTCCCCCAACAGCACACACTAGATACTCAATAAATAGGTAAATTCTATAGAATTGTACTCAGAAGTTAATTCAGAAAAGGTGTTCTAAAAACATTCTGAACACTGCTACTGAAAATGACCACCGAAATATAAAAGTTCTTATCTGGAGATATAATTTTGATATTTGTTTTTAAAAATCAACTTTCTGAAATCTTATACCATTACTGAATTATTTCACAACTGTCTTTCTCTCTCAAAAGAATGTAAATACTACTTTGGGATGCCAAGGTGGGAGGATCACCTGAGGTCAGGAGTTCAAGACCAGCCTGGCCAGAATGGTGAAACCCCACCTCTACTAAAAATACAAAAATTAGCTGAGCATGGTGGCACGCTCCTGTAATCCCAGCTACTTGGGAGGCTGAGGCAGGAGAATTGTTTGAACCCAGGAGGCGGAGTTTGAACCCAGCAGTGAGCTGAGATCGCACCACTGCTCCCCAGCCTGGGCAACAGAGCAAGACCCCGTCTCAAAAAAAAAAAAATTGTAAATACTACAAATTCCTTGAGAGAAGAAGCTTATCTGTTATTTTTACTATCCTAAAAAAGAATTAAATCAGACAGTCCTAAAACAGTCATTTATGCCTGAGGTAAAAAAAAAAAATCTAAATTAAACCAGCACCCTGCTACAGACCAGATTTTACTCCAGATTAAACTAGCTTCAAATTTAGAAGAGACCCCTTGGTCCCACCTCTTCCAAGTTGTTACAGAACCACTGCAATTCCATTCTAATCCAGTCTGTCTTCTTCCCTTAAATCTAAAGGTCCTCTCCAGATATCCCTTTTGTCCTTCACGCTGTCAAACACACACACACACAGTTTTGCCTACAATACCCCCAAAGTACTCAGCAATTTCATACAATCCCACTATTATCACTAACAGTGAACACTACTTTCTATCAGTCATTCAACAGGTATTTATTAAGCACTTAAGAATCAACCTGCTGTTAGTTTCCCTAGAGACTACAGGAAGTCTCTGCTCTAGAACAGGTTACAATGTACCATTTGCAAAACAAAGAGAATAATTGTCACAAATACAAAATTTAGCAATACATAAACTACATGTGAATACTGTTACTACTGAAAGTAAGGAAGACTCTCAAGAGTTGCCATTACTTAGACTCCCAAAAAGAAGTGGAGTAATTATCTTTCTAATCTCCCAACATCCACCATAGTGATTTGCACCTCATACACAAATTTCAAAAACATTAATATTTTATGACTCTAACCTAACAGAGGAGATTGGGCCCAGTATAGTTTTTTCCTACCACATTCCCAACATATTAGTGACTTAAACATGCTAATTTCCTTAAAAATGACAAAAATTTTAGTCTCATCACCATAAGGTAAACCTCCTTCACATTAACTATATCCAAATCCCCCTCAAAATTCTTTACCTTTTCTTCAGCCTCCTCAAAATGTATCACCACCTCCATCAAACCCTGTTCCTCATCCTCATCCTCCTCTTACCACATTTCCCATCTCTCCCTACTACATCCCCCCAAAAAACACATGTATATGCCAATCCATTACCTCCTAAAAATAAAAACATAAGAATTGTGGCCGGGCACGGTGGCTCACGCCTGTAATCCTAGCACTTTGGGAGGCTGAGGCAAGCAGACCACTTGAGCCCAAGAGTGCAAGACCAGCCTGGGCAACATGACGAAACCCCGTCTCTATAAAAAATACAAAAAAAGTTAGCTGGGAGTGGTGGCTCATGCCTGTATTCCCGGCTACTTGTGGGGCTGAGGTGAGAGGATTGCTTGAGCCCAGGAGGTGGAGGCTGCAGTGAGCTGGGAACATGCGCACTGCACTTCAGCCTGGGTGACAAAGTGAGACCCTGTTTCAAAAAAAAAAAAAAAAGGGGGGGGGGGGGGCAGGGCGAAGTGGCTCACGCCTGTAATCCCAGCATTTTGGGAAGCCGAAGCGGACAGATCATGAGGTCAGGAGATCGAGACCATCTACAGTGAAACCCTGTCTCTACTAAAAACACAAAAAAATTAGCCAGGTGTGGTAGCGGGCACCTGTAATCTCAGCTACTCAGGAGGCTGAGGCAGGAGAATTGCTTGAACCCAGGAGGCAGAGGTTGCAGTGAGCCGAGATCGTGCCACTGCACTTCAGCCTGAGCGACAAAGCTAGACTCCGTCCCAAAAAAAAAAAAAAAAAAGAATTGCCACAGAACCCTAGAAAAAACATTCAAGGGTCATTTTAATGCATTTCCAGATTTCCCACACTAAAACTCTCCAGAAGACTGTCAAAGAATACTGCAATCAGGCCGGGCGCGGAGACTCATGACTGTAATCCCAGCATTTTGGGAGACGGAGGCGGGTAGATCACGAGGTCAGGAGATCGAGATCATCCTGGCTAACACGGTGAAACCCCGTCTCTACTAAAAATACAGAAAATTAGCCGGGCGTGGTGGTGGGAGCCTGTAGTCCCAGCTACTCGGGAGGCTGAGGCAGGAGAATGGCGTGAACCTGGGAGGCAGAGCTTGCAGTGAGCCGAGATCACACCACTGCACTCTAGCCTGGGTGACAGAGCGAGACTCCGTCTCAAAAAAAAAAAAAAAAAAATACTGCAATCTGGTAACTAATTCCAAGATGAACAACTATCATTGTCAAGCAACTCCTCTTCATCTCTAACAAGCAAATCTTACACTGCAAAGATGGTTCCTACAACATGGTCTTTCTGATAGGTCCATCCAAACTTCTCTTTATCATCTCATCCAGCA